>NC_000010.11:13646363-13797878 GCF_000001405.40 Homo sapiens
GTCCTCCGATGCATTTCTGGTGTCGAGAACTTCCTTTCTCAACCTCCCCTTCCCCCATAGCCATCCCCACAAGCTGTCCCATCAAGGAATATTTCAGGTGTAAACTGAATATGCCACGAGGCCTCCTCTTCATGAAGTGCTTGGTTGGCCTACGTATGGGTGGCAGGCTGGACACAGCTGAATCGTCTTTCTGGGTCACCCTGTAACTCAAGTCCCCTTTCCCGTTCTCTCCCAACGCTACTTATCCGCAGGAATTGGATGCCGGCTGGCCCCCCTGATGGTTCCTGGCCTAGGGGCTGTCATGGCAGAGGGAAGCCACCAAGGTGCCATTGAGGATTGGTGTCTGGCTCTCTATGGGCAAGAGCGCCAGGGGACACACAGTGGGACCGGAACCTTCCAGAATGTCTCCTCAGTCAGGTTTTCAAGGGGGAGGGAATGCGGAGACAGGAGAAAAAAAGTGCTGAGGGCCAAAGCTGGTGCAGGGTGACGGTGCGTCTGGGTAAGGCAAATGAGAGGCAGTGAGGTGATCTCAGAATGGCGTTGAGGCGGTCAGATTAGGCCGGGCTGGCTCACACGAGGGTCCCGGGCTTGGCTTTTTCCTGCCCGTACCACTGGACATCAGCTAGTTCTGGATAGAGGGAGGAATCCAGGAAACAGCTATCATTGTAGCTCCTGTGGGAGGCCCAAGAAAGGAGATGAGACAGTTAGTTAGTGGAGGAGGATGGGTTCAGCCAGGCCTGCACTGAGAAGGATATGTTCACCTTGACAGGGCCCTGTGCTAATCACGAGTCTTTCCTGTTCGGAGCAGTGAGGCCTGAGACCCTCAACAGTGCTGTGTGTACAGAAGGCCCCCAGAATCCACACAAAGGGGCCGCCTGAAACCTAGAGCATTTGTGAAGGAGGAAAATGGAAGGTAACTTACTCAGTGCGGTGGTTCTTCAGCGTGGCTGCATCCGGGGAGCACCTGGGAACTCCCAGAAATACTCATGCCTGGGCCCAATTGATTTGGGGTGTGTTTGAGCGCTGAGAACTGTCAAAGCTCCCCACCAGGTGATTCTCAGATGCAGCCAAAGCCAGAACCTCTGGGCTTTCCTCAGGGGACTTTTCCCACACGACAGCTGCCCGGGTTGTCCTCCGTGAGACCCCAGGGCTAACAGATGTCACTAGGAAATTTTTATTCTGTCCTGGAAGAACATTCAAAATGTGAGTTTTCCCTATAGTGAAACTGCGGTGGTATTTTGAATTGTGTTTTAAAAGTTTAAAAAAAATCAATGATGACTTTGCTTTATTCTAAATAACATGCATTGTTTTGTGATTATAAAAGTGTGTTCATTTAAAATAGGAAAGTCTATAGAAGAAAATAAAAGGCTTTTTTTTTTTTTTTTAAGTATTTTAGGGAGGTATCACCATTTAGGTTGGGTAGAAGTAATTCTTAAATCTTAAGAAGCAATCATAGATATGTGGAAGCCAATAGTCATTACTAGGGATCATGATTCGGAAAAACAGCCTCTCTTCAATGATCCTGAATGAGCCCTTTGAATTCCTCTCCTGCAACTGATCTCCCCATGGGGAGTGGTGAGGGATGGGTGACAGGAAGGGACCCTAACCCAAAGTAGTTCAGAGCGGGTGAGTTTTAGGAGCATTTCGGTACCAAACACAGCTTCACGATTGAGAATCATCAGTCATCCCCAGCTTTCTATTTCATTTGCTAACCTCTCTAGGAACAACTGGATGTTGTAAATGTTTCTCATCTGGCCTTAAAATCCATGAAAGCTGGAAAATCACAAGGCATCTGTGCATATACTGGTGGATTTTAATGAGAGTCCTGTGTTTGGAGCACCAGAAATAAACCAGCTTCAGAAGCAAAGTAAGAAAAGGCCCTTGATTATGACACTGGCCATGGGTATTACTATATGTAGGTGGTATGTGGATGATTCTGGGACACCTGTCCTGCAAACTTTGTCTCCACCCTAAGCTGACTTTTGACATTGTGCCTGACTGAAAAACTTCTAATGGGAGAGGTGGTTGGGCCTTGCAGGGGTCCTATGTTTTTCTTAGGGGGACAGTCTCTCCCTAACTCCACGTGGTCCTGGTGGTGCTCTCCACCATGGCGCCATCCTCACTCCCGTGGGGGCCAGGGGACAAGGAACCCAACGGGGCCGGGCCAATGAGAGTCCCCCGATCAAAATCCCTGGTTCAAAGGTGGCCACGTGCCTGAGCAGCTTTGAAACCACAAGGATGTCATTTCCTCCTGAGAACTAGGTTAACAGGAGGAGGAAGCAGAGCTAGAGATGGAAGGAGACCCAGCCAGCCCGGGCTCCAGTGACATCGGCTGGTACACGCTTTTGTTTGCTTACGCTTGTTGAACTGAGTTTTTCATATGTAACTAACGAATACTGGCACATGTAAGTAGTTTCTTAAACTGTTGATGAAATTTTTGTTTCTAACACAAACATGATCTGGGTCTGTTTGGGATAAAACTTCCCTAAGGGGTTTCATGAGATCTTAGGAACACTTAGCCAGTGTTTCCCAAAGTAGTCCTGTGAGTTGCTCTGAGGGGAAAAAAAGCTTCCATGGATAAATAAATTTGAGGATTCTGCCTTTCAGAGGCCTGAAATGTAAATGTATATGAAACATATATTAAAGGTTCTGAGAAGTCCTGGATTAGTTTGCCACAGAACTTCTGGAACAGTATCACCTATTAACATCCACAGAACACACTTTGAAAAATACTCTTAAATGGGCTAATATTATGAAATGTAGTTGACTCTCTTGTATGTTGGATCCTAAACAGTTTCTGGTTGAAACTATTAAAGTTGAGTCATAATTGTGACAACATAATCTGCTTCAGAGGGACTAAAAGTGCACTATGTATTGATCATAAAGGCTCAAGAAAGACCATTGAGTTCAAAGCAGTGATGTTTGGATCAGGCAGTAGATGAGGTTAAGGGTTCCTGTGGTGGTTTATTTGGTATGTGAAGAGCCTAACTGTTGGCTGGCCCATGGTGTTCTCCTGTGGTTCATTATGGAGGCTTCTGGGTCACAGAACCCACATATGAGAGGGCATCGGGAGGATCTGGATGATGGGGTGGGAGATGCTGGATTGGTGGTTTGGTTCTCAGGTGGCTCCTAGAGGAGCCGCAGTATGGAAACCACTGGCCTGCTCCTGCCTCTGAGAAAATGAAGCTGGAGGAAAAGATGTAAAGATGTATTTTTTCCAAACTTGCGATGTTTTATACAGAATCTTTCTTAGTGCTTCCACATAGTTATTGAAGTACGTAAGGTATTTTTAAAGCTATAAATGTTGCTTCATGTATTGGTCTTTTATTCTCAAGTCTGGGGAAGAGACCCTTGTTCTGGCTGCTCAGCTAAGCCTTTGCCTTTCAGTACAAATTCAATTTTCCGGTAGTAGTCAAGGAATGCCATGTGCTACGAAAGAGACCCTTAGGAAGCATTTATTCTTCACAAATAATACAAATGGGGCCACTAAATAGTTGCCCTAGTAAAAACCTAAAAACCTAAGTCAGTCATTCACTGGAACATGAGCTGGGGCAGGATGAAGATCTAGGTGTGCTCTCTCAACTGTGACCCAGAAGAGCAGCTTAGCCCTGGGCAGTCTGGGTCACAGCAAGTGGTGACTTCAGAATCTGTGGGGGCTTTCCACTGCAAGAATGCCCTTTCCCAGGGCTATGCTCAGAGATGTGTGGCCTGCAAAGGGTACTGGCTAAGCCAGGGCCGTCTGATACCAGACAGATGGCAAATTCACCCACATCTCACAGGGTTTTGTGGTTTATAACTGCTTGGCATAGGGAGGTGGGGCTGCTGGGAGGGAGGAATTTCAAACTGAATTATTTTTTTAAACGTATAACTAACTTACAGAACCAACTGGTGGCACATACTGGGGTTGTTGAACAGTCCCACAGTTGGTCACAAGGCCAGAGGATAGGGGATGAGGCCCTCTAGAGGCATCCTGTCTTACCTGGTCTGGGAAGGTGCTGTTGCTCAGTATAATGTATGTGTGTCCCTGCATGTGCACATGTATGCATGAGCATGAACTCGTGTATGTATTCGTGTATGTATGTAGGTATTTCAAGCAGTGCCTACATTCCCACCGCAGCTCTTTCAAACCTGGTTAATTCTACTTCTGGCTGTCAGCCCTATCTCCATCACCTTTAGCAGATGATCGCCCTCCCATACCGGGGGAGAAAAAGGCCATTCTTCCTACTTCAAAAATACTGCTCTCATGACATCACCCTGGCACTGGGGCTGGGGGAGGGGGTCTACCTTCCTTCCAAAGCCTAAGTCCCTGTCCTAATTGCCCATCTGTCAACTTTGCAATATTGTCCTAACTTACTTTTCAAAAGTCCAGTTTTTTCTCTACAGGAAACAAGACTCTCTACTGTTAACCACCCCTCACCCTTATCTGTGCATCCATGTTTTTGCACTTGGGATGGTCTCTGTCTCCACCTGTCTAAGCCCCCTCCTCCCACGGCAGGCTTCTGAGCCAGGCTCACATAACATCTCCGTGAACTCGAAAGTGACCCCCTCATTTCTGAATCCTCTCAGCATTGCATTTTGTTTCTAAGTCTTAGAGCACTTAATACATAAGTGTAGCAGTTTCTCATGCTCCTTGTATATCTTCTGATAGGCAATTTGATTTCAAGCCCTTGTGTCCCAGTTAGACTGTAAGGGTCCTGGGGCTAGGAACCAGACCAGGTGGTACTGTTATCTGCCCCTGTGCTTTGCAGATTTCGACGTGAATCTTGTTAAATGCACATTAGGTTCAGTAGGCCAGGGTGGTGCCCGGGAGACTAGCTTTCTAACGAGCTCCCAGGTGATGGTGGTAGTGATAAAAATGTTGGCTTATGGACATTTGGAAAAGCAGTGCTCATAGCTTTTGGTACTCAGCACAGCTGTTACTCAAGAATGCTGGGGGTGCTTCTGGAGCCACTGAGTCGGCCCTTGGTGCTTTGAAACTTACATTGCAGTGATGCTGTTCTTTTCAGGGACACTGATTACTCACAGTAAAATGTCTACAAATCTTTGAATGTAGATAGAACATGGTGAGTCTAAAATATACTTTGGGGCCAGGCGCACAGATCACTTAAAGCTTAAAGTCAGGAGTTTGAGACTATCCTGGCCAACATGGCAAAACCCCGTGTCTACTAAAAATACAAAAATTAGCCACGCATGCACCTGTAGCTACTAGGGAGCCAGGAGAATCGCTTGAACCTGGGAGGCAGAGGTTGCAGTGAGCCGAGATCATGCCACTGCACTCCAGCCTGGGCAACAGAACAAGACTCTGTCTCAAAACAAAACATACTCTGGGGGTCTTTTCTGGGAAGCAGTGTTAGGAATATCATAATTTTGATGTAAGAACCTTCAGCTAAAAACATAGTTCCAGTTCCCCATGTATCTAGAAATAAGGCATAAATACAGCATTCAGATGTATCCTTGTGGAAATGATGACATGGACAAAAGCAACACATGTGGGACCACAGACTCATGGGCAGTAGGAACAAAACTCCCCTTACGGTACCTCTATTCATCAGTACTTTGGTGAGGTGGAGACTCAGACCCATCCAGAATGGGTGAGTTTTCTGTTGCTTCTCTGAACAAAGGAAAGCAGGAGGAGGAAGAGAAGAGAGGTCATGTTACAGAGAGACACTGACACAGACACAGACACGATTAGTAGCTTATTAATATATCCGAAAGGCTTGCTGATTAGACACCTGAGTTAGCAACAGATCATACAAGTCATGCAGTACTTTCAGTCCCCATAATTGAGTCAAAATACCTAGTTTGTTAGGAGGGACGGGCCCTCTTTTACCCATGGCCTCATTTTGTATCACATCATAGCAAACAGTTTATGCCAAGAACCAAAATTGCTGTTTTTCAAATTTGGCTTGAGTCCTCACTAGTTGTAGGTGGTGAAATAGGCAGGTTTCAAGACCATCTTAAGTGCATAGGACCCTGAGGAGGGCTTGTACATTTCGGAGCCTGTTGACAGCCAAATAATACAATCAATCATATATTTGGATCAGGTGAGACTGGGCATGATTCAGAAAAGTTGGAAGATCTAGAGAGGGATCTTGCAATCTGAAGTTTCTTGTTTAGTCACTGGAGGTATGTATTACATATATGAAAGATGTGTCATTCTTTTATGAGTTAATCTTAGACCCCAAACCTTGCAGAGGCTGCCTGGCCAAACAGGTGAGAGCTGGGGTGTGGGTGGGTGAGTGTTAATGATCTAAAGGACAAAGGGGCAGCTACTGTCCAACAGACAGCCCAAGAAGTAGGAGCAGACACAGGAACACCGAGCTGGGGCTCCAGTTTCTCTTATTTTAAAAGGAATCAGAGGCAGCAGGGGATCGTTCAGTGGTTGTCAAAACTTGAGTGTGGGTCAGCATCACCTGGAGGGCTTATCAGAATGCAGCCTGCTGGGCTCACCCCCAGAGTTTTGGATTTTTTTTGTGTTACAGGTAAGCCCGAGAATTTGCATTTCTGACAAGATCCCAGGTGAGGCTCACTCGTGCTGCTGGCTTTGGGATCACACTTAACTACCGGTATAGTGGGGAAAGACAGGGTTTGGGGTCACAGAGGGCAGAGCTGGAATTCCAGCTCCCTCCAGCTGTCAGACTTTGGGCCAGGCACTTAGTTCCTCTGAGCCTCATCTATGAAACGAAAACATCTGGGTATTTCCCCCGCAAGGGGATGATGAGGATTGTATGAGCTCATGTGTGTTAGAAGCTGCTCGCAGCCTTTGAGTACACAGCAAGCACTCAGTAAGTGTTAGGACCCTTTCTTGCCAAAAATGAAGGCTCCAGAAAACCTGGTGTAAAAAAATTACCACAGATAAACCTGCAGGAACAAAAATGCCGACCAGGTGCCTGTAATCCTAGCACTTTGGGAAGCTGAGGTGGGTGGATCACCTGAGGTCAGGAGTTCGAGACCAGCCTGGCCAACGTGGTGAAACCCTGTCTCTACTAGAGATTAGCCAGGTGTAGTGATGCACACTAGTAATCCCGGCTACTAGGAAGGCTGAGGCAGGAGAATCACTTGAACCATGGAGGTTGCAGTGAGCTGATATCGCACCACTGCAGTCTGGGCAACAGAGTGAGACTCCGTCTCAAAAAAAGGCCAAGTATGAGAGCCTGAAAGGCAGACAATACAGCCAATTCTGGAATTGTGCTTTTCTCATGATTCAACTCACAGCCAGTTGTCAGGTTTTCCCAGACATCCCCCTGATGCTCCACCAAACCAGGAACCAGACAAACCGAGGAAGGGGCCTCCTTAACTCCTCTAACCAACAGATGAGATGTTGACAGAACCTAACATCTACTTAGAGATGATGTCTCAGGGGCAACAGAAGAGGCAGGTGCTGTAGGGCCAGGCGGGTTACCTGTGTCTGCCAGACCCTCCAGTAGTTCAGAATAGCCTCACTGGCGCCGAGATGATAATGCTGTATGCAAACATGTCAAGCTATCAAAGGGAGCTGCCTTTCGGTTTCATTAATTTTGTTGTGTGCAGCTTCCACTGAAGGCTTCAGGGCACCTGATCTCTTTTGTGTGTTGAGAAAGAGCAAGTGCTTGGCCAGGACACAGCCCTTTTTCTTGCACCCTGAGACATCCTAAGACACTGGCTGTTTCACCTGCCCCAGTGTATTTGCTGTCTTCATCAGCTCTCTTTCTCCCCCTGACATTCTTGCCTGGCATTTTGAGTCAGCCTGAGTATAATCCAAACCGAAATGAAATGCTGTCTGGAAATCTTACCAAAGAAGCACAGTCCCACTTCGTGCTTCCATCTCCCCACATCCCAAGGACCACCGCCTACTTTAAGAGAACACAGACAATTCACCTCTATAAAGGCACAGCCAGGAAAAGGAGTAGGCAGAGGTGACAGCAGATCATGGGGCTTCTCTTGAAAGGAAGACACCTCCCAGTGATGAACCCTCATCATCCATTTACTGACATATCCTTATGTCACCAGGATCTGAACGTCTATGACACTCTTTCGAGCTGACACAGTGAAGAACATAGAAGGAGAACTCACCCAGTCTGCCAGGTTAGGATGTGGTGGGGGCTGCTTGGGGGGGTGGCTCCAATTTCACTTGACGGTGTCGAGCTTCTCTGGCTTTGAGGTAAGGCAGCTACATGCAGGTGGTGCAAGAAAGGCAGAGAGCAGACAGGGATCAGACACAGGTGAAAGAGCTTGCGACTTGTTGGCTGACACCAACCCAGTGGCCAGAGGTCACCATTTCCAGGGATGCTGGGAAGGACCCCAGAGCAGGGTCTCAGCATCCCTATGGCATGGTCACAGTGGGCAACCATCTCTACATGCCCCCCCAACCTCTGCATCCCACCCATTCCATTTTCTACCCACTACCATGCACCTTCATTCTGAGTCAAGCTGACCTGGGATCCTAGGTCCCCGCTTTGCCACCAGGAGGTAGGCATAGGGATGGTGACGGTTTCTACAGCAGCAAAGAATCTGATGTCCCCATAGTCCTTTGAGCGAGACCTGAGCAGGGCTCATACAGGGAGGGCATATTTCTCTGGCCCCAGGGCATTTTCAGTGTGGCCCTGTTATGAAATTGTTTCTCCCCATTGTGAAGAGAGGGCATCCAGAAAGGTTCTCAGAGCCTGCTCTCTCTGCTGTTTCAGGCTTATCATTGCTACTGTAGGGCGCTTTGAAGGGAGCAGGGCTTTTAATAGCTCATCCAAACCTGACCACTACGCATTTACTGATGTAGGCAGCATGGAAGTCCAGCTGGAAAGATTTAGTAGGAAGTCAATCCTACGTAAATGCATCCTTTGCTTTTTTGGTAAAGGAATCCTTTCCATCAGTAAACCTCAGATACAGCTTAACAATTTTAGTCTAAAATATGTTCCAAAAGATCTACCTCATCTCTTTACATAAAGCAAATCTACTAGACCAGTGCTGCAGTTTTGATAGAACATAAACCCTCCTGTTTGTTGGAGATATTTACAAAACGTTGGTTCTTTATCTAATAGGGTCACAGAATGATCATACTCAAGATCTTCCTGGGGAGTCAATGGCAAATTTCACTGGGCTATTTTACAGATGAAGAAGGAACATAAAGAAGGTTCTGGGACCCCGAAGTCCACGGAACACCCACCATTACCTGATCTTTGGAGCTTGTCATTTGGCCAGTGGACCCTAATAAACGTCCACGGGGATGTGGGGATAGAATGCCAGAGCCTGGCTCGCTAGGGCATCCAGGTTCTTCCTTCCTCTTTGCCCTGCTGTCTCCAGGCACCAAGAATCTCCTACAGTTCCCCAAAGATGAACCCCCCATTATCTCAGGTCACTCTGTTTCCCCCGATCTTTACCAAATTCCTGACTCAGAGTTCCTCCCATTTGCTTCTGACTCTCATTTTATTCTTACCTCTCATTTTATTCTTATGATGTTTACCATTTCTCTTCTCCTCAGTGTCCCTCTCTGAGTGGTAAGAGTATGTTAATAAGCCAGTGCTGAGACCGGAGCACGAGGCAACTGCTCAATGTTGGTCATTGTCACTGTTATTAAATGTAACTTAAGGGAATGAGTGGTTTCTTCCTTTTTTTTTTGTTTTTTACTTGATTCAATACCGCCCAATGCTCTTGAGTATGAGAATATAAGGTAAACTTTATAGAAATTTTCAGATATAACGTCAAGGATATTTAAGACACTTAAATAATAGTTTGTGGCTATGGCATAACATCATCATCGAAATGGGAAAGCCAGGAGCAGCCAGGAATTCTGTCAAACGCACAGCTCTGGCACTGTTTATTAGCCAGTCTGCCCCCATCTGGGGAGACACTGGCCAAATCTCTAGGCTTGACCCAAGCCCATCCCCAACCCAGCTTCCTTTGCAAGCTACAGCTGTGGGCTTTCACTGGGATACTCTCCTCACTAGGGTAAAAGACACCTTTGGTTGGATAAACCCAGAGACATTACTTTTACTTTACCTAACTAACTTTCTTAGATTTCTGTCTTTACAAGGAGAAATGGGAGAGCTGGCCCAGTGCACTCTGGAGGGTCAGGTGCACGGTTATGGTGCAAGATTAGGGTTAGAACGGGGCGGGGTCAACAAAGGCCTGGAAGACCTCAAGTCTCCCGCATCTAACAGCAGCGTTCCCAGAATTAATTAATGATTCCCGTTCCTCACTGCACCCAGTCCTAAGGGTACCTTCCCCGCGGTAGCCCTTGACACCGGCAAGCAGTTCGCCCTCAGGTCTTCCCGCGTGCACCTGGCCGCCCCCTCTCACCTGACGTGGCCTTGCACATCTGGGGCATCCTGGTGACCCTGCTGTGCGCCACGAAGGTGCTCTGGGAGGAGGTGCTGTACTGCGAGCCGCTGTCCGAGGAGGTGGAGCTGGTGTGCGACAGGCGGCTGTGCTCCTTGTGCGAGGCGGTGGAACGCTGGTACCACTGGCGCAGCTCGTCTGAGACGGCGGCACGGCCCGCGCCCTTGTCGTGGGCGCCCTCGCGGCCCAGCGACGGAGTCCGCAGGATCTGCGATCGCGACGGCGTCAGGCGGCCCGTGTCGCCCTCGTCGCCGCCGCCGCCGCGCCAGCTCTCCTTGAACAGGCCGCCCGCCGTGTAGGAGTTGGACGTCTTGAACTGAGCCTTGACGCTGTAGTGGCCCTCCTGGTCGCTCTCCAGGCTGCGCACCACCACGGGCGTGGCGCCGCCCTCGATGTACAGCGGGTACTCCTTGATGCGGTACTGCGAGCTGGGCTGGCTCTGGCTGTGCAGGTACACACCGCCCCCCGCGCCCCCCGCGCCCCCCGCACCCCCGCGCGCCGCCAGGTTGGGCATGCTGCCCGAGCTGGCTGAGCCCAGTGCGCCCGCCGCCCGCTGCCGCTGCCTCTGCCTCTGGCGCGCCTTGGACGGCGAGTCCTCGGCCAGCGTGGAGTAGTTGGCGTTCATCTGCGCCGGGTAGTAGTGCTCCGAGCTCGAGTGGCTGGTGCACGACGAGCAGTCGTCCATGGGGTCTGAGCCGTTGCTGCTACGAGTCCGCGGGGTGTAGAAGTCGGGGCTCCCGGTGTCGTTTTCCGAGCCCAGGAGCTTGCCCTGGGACTCCAGGCTGGAGCTCCGGTGCCTAAAGTGCAGTGCGAGGCTGTGCAGTCGGGTGGGGCTGATGTCCACCGACCTGCCGGGAGACGACCCGGGTTGGTCTGGGGGTGGGGAGTGGGCCCAAGGAGGGGTGCTCCGGGGAGGAGGGGGTCCTGAGGAGGGCACTGGGTGTCTGCACGCGGGCGCAGGCCCCAGCCCAGCAAGCCAGAGTCTCACTCAGCAGGGCTGCCCCAGGGATCCGGGAACTGCCCATTGCGGGAGGTGAACCTGGGGTCTCCACCATGATTCCCAGTGGGAAGTGGGACTGAAGCTAGGACTCACAGAAAGGTTTCGATTTCTGGGTTTTTTTTTTTTTTTAAATAATTCTATAGACACAAAGAGAATCACAGAATCCTTAGTATCATGTTAAACCAGATAGGGCTGGGCACTGTGGTCCACGCCTGTAATCCCAGTGCTTCAGGAGGCTGAAGAATTGCTTGAGCCTGGGAATTTGAGACCATCCTGTGCAACACTGTAAGACCTCATCTCTTACAAATAAATTAGAAAATTAGCTGGGTGTAGTGTTGTACACCAGGGGTCCCAGCTAGTCAGGAGGTTGAAGAGGGAGGATCACTTGAGGATGCAGTAAGCTATGATCAAACCACTGCACTCCAGCCTGGGCAACAGGGCAAGACCCTGTCTCTCTTAAAAAAAAAAAAAAAAAAAAAAAAAGAAAACACAAACCAGATGAAATGTCCCTATTTACAGATCAGATAAAAGCAGTCCTACAGAGGCCCTTCATATTGTTTAACCAAATACTATTACATGATCCATATAAATAGACTCCCCTTTCCTGTGAAAACTGGGAAATAGAAGGTTGGTGGCAAATGAGATAATTAAACAATGAATGATGCAAATACTCACCATACCATTACTTTATAATTCATTCTGCTCGTTTGAGTCCACTCAGGGCTTAGGGAAGTGCAAAACAGTATCACATGGCAGATGATGTTGCCCGATGCTGGGACTGCATGTGAACTTCACAGCGGCCCCACGGGCCAAGCACAGGAAGAGGCGAGTCCCACTTCCGACTGCCACTCAGAAGGGGGATGAAAGCCCCCATCACGTGGCCCTCCGTGATCTGGTTTGCTTCTTTTTAGAAAAAGAAGGTGTGGCTAGGAGCGGTGGCTCACGTCTCTAATCCCAGCACTTTGGGAGGCCAAGGTGGGTGGATCACCTGAGGTCAGGAGTTCCAGACCAGCCTGGCCAACATGGTGAAACCCCGTCTCTACTAAAAAATACAAAAATTAGCCAGGCGTGGTGGTAGGTGCCTGTAATCCCACCTACTTGGGAGGCTGAGGCAGGAGAATCGCTTGAACACGGGAGGCAGAGGTTGCAGCGAGCCAAGATCGCGCCACTGTACTCCAGCCTGGGTGACAGAGCAAGACTCCATCTCAAAAAAAAAAAAAAAAAAAGAAACAGAAGGTGTGATTCACTGAAGCCTCATTTTTGCCTGGCTCTTTTGCTCTTTATGAATTTACATTTTGAGGCACTAAAGGAAGTCCAGTATAAATTTAGGCCTCAGTAGAAAGATAGAAGACCTCTTCCCATGCTAACCCAGCCAGCCTCTGTGGCCTCTGCTTTGCTTAGGAAACTTTCCATGCTCCCTGTCTCCAGAAGCCCGGGGATTCTTTGGCTGACTCCAAGTGCCCTGTGCATGGGTCTCTTGGCTAACGGGGGTTGACTGCTGCCAGCTTGGTTTTTTATTCCGCTTCATTTATCCTCCCAGGTTCAGGTCTGACTGTAGCTCATCCATTATTTGGGCCAGCTTGGGGCTGACAATGCCCAATTTTAAAAAGGAAGGCTTGGTCTGAGCAGGAAGGCCAGGCAGACTCACCTCGTGGAATGGACGTAGTGGGGACTCCGGACCCGCAGGTCTGGCGTGGACGGCATGCTGGACTGGGAGTTCCAGTGCGGGAGGCCGCGGATGGGGCTGTTCTGCAAGGAGTTGCTTCCTCCGCCGGCTTCCGCACAGCTTCCTGTGCTGGGGAAGCGCTTGTGGCTGCTGCAAAGCCAAGGATGCCACGTGGTCACCGCCAGACAGACAGCACCTTTCCTGGGGGGCTGGCTAGTTCAGGACAATGATCCCAGCATGTGGGGAAAGCTCGCCCGTGACTCCCACCTCGCTTGGTCAGACCTCTACTGTGGTTCTCAGCCTTTCCCCAGCAGGGGGTATGCCCTCCCCCCTCCCAACCTAGGCAATATGAGAGGAAAACCCTGGTCAGCCTTCTCTGTGTCAGGCAGTGTGACGGTCCTGCCCTTACAGTTTTTGTTTTCCAAGAAACAAATATTTACCTGTCCTGGCACCCCCCTTGGAGCTTGGTAGGGTGATTAAAGGAAATGGGAAAAACAGAGAAGCAGACCGAAAATGCCTTCCCCCCCAAAAAAAACCTCCCTACAAAGTCAGCCCGGTAATGAGCTGATAATACACAGCTTGGATTACAGCTGCTTGGCTGGAGAATTCTGCTGGATGAGGGGGTAGAGTTCTGAACCACTCTGCATTTGCTCCGAGTGGACTTTCACTTGCTATTTCAGAATAGCGCTGCCTGAGATTTCCTAATTAATTCCTCTGGAATTTAACAGCATTCAAACCATCTGCCATCACGTTGATTGTGGGCCAAAGCCCCAATTTCTCTGAGTCACAAAAATGTACCTCAACAGTGTCGGCAGCAGAGGGCGCTGTGAGCACGGCCCCGTGAAAGGCAAACCCCACGGGGAGGAACTAGGTTGATGTGGATTTTGTCACCGTGGATGCTACTTGGGACGGCCCTTTGATTCTTCCAGAGCATAGAGGGAGGCCTCATTTGGCCTCATTCACGATGCAGCTCACCTGGAATGGCTGTGAGAGGAGCGCTTCTTGACCTTCTCATAGGGTTCATCTAAAGAGGACTCACTCCACATTTTGGGCTTGATGGGTGACTTGTCATAGTCGTTGCGGTGATAGTGCATCTGTCGGAGTCCCTCCAGGGACTGGGGAGGAGGAGGCCTGTTGTGCGACGGTGGCCGAGGAGGGAGTCCCTTGTGAGGAGAATGTAGGGGGGATATTGTGCTGGTAACCTGAGAGTCTTCTGCACAAAGACAGGAAGAGAGGAACTGAGCCCCGGTCATCCTTCCCACAGGCTGAGACAGAACCCCTACACCCCTCCACCCGCACCTTGGAGCCACACAGCCAAACCCACACCTTCACCCCTGTGATGAGAAACCCTGAAACTCTTCCCCAGTTGCCAAGACAAGTCAAGACGAGTCAAACCAAACCAGGGCAAGCCAAACCTCCACTGCAGGCGGGATTGCATGGGAAGAGATGCGTCACTTTTGATTAGACACGAATGGAGTGAAGTCTGAACGTCATTAAATACCACCAACAAATGACTGCTTCACACTAAACAGCAAAATGTAGTTACTGCTGTAGTGCTAAGTTGTCTTTCAACAGATGCTAAGCATCTGATTCACTGTGGGAGGGTCTGAGTTCTGGGAGAGTTTTGTCTGTTTCATCTGCTGCTAGATCCTCAGCCGACACATAGTAGGTGCTTGATAACCATTGGTTGGAGAAGAAAAAATGAATGAGGGTCTATATGTCCATTGTAAATACCTGCTGGGTGGATCGGGTGTCTACTCTGCTTTTTTCCCCCAGAGCTGTGTTTATTCTCTTTTAATCTCTTCCTCTATATTTTAATTTTGAAACTGCCTTAACTTTTTTAAGGAGATGAGCTACAAAGATTATGTATTAATAAATGATTCCCTGCCTCCAGGAAAGAAATGATCTAACACGTCAGTGCGCTAGAGGACTTTCAGAAAAAGCAAATTCAGTGAGTCTAGGAGGTGCTGTGGGAGAGGCTGGTCTTGAAGGGGCTTGAGCAGTGGGCAGGCAAAGAGGAGGAGGAAGGAAGGGCTTGAACCAAAGTGTGGAGGCCCTGAGGGCAGGGTACCAGCTGCAGGCACATCTGGCCAGGCAGGGGCTGGTGAGGAGGGGCAGGGGGAGTAAGGGCAGAGCTCTGGCCAGCACAGCCGCCTTCTGTGTGCACCATGTGAGCCAAGAGCCCGACTGATGGGGGCCTGGAATTCCGAGTTGAGATTTTGAAAAGCCACAGGAAAACTTTGCGATGTCTTAAGCACGGATGCGTCGGAGTGAAAAATCCTGTTTTAGAACTATTCACCTGGCAGTGTTCTAAAACTAGAAAGGAAGGGAGAGAGACTAGAGAGGGGGATGAATGAGGACTTCAGGCTAGGGCAGGTCAGCATTGAGAAGAGAGAGGAGGGAACGATTCAGGCTTCACAGGGAAGGCAGACATGGGAGGTGGAGGGGAAAAAAGCACAGAAGCAAACCTTACAACCAACCAACTACCATTCACTTGCCCCTAAATCCATTTCCAGCGACTTGTTTCACAGCCTAATTCTCAGTCCCCCAGCCGTGGACACCCACTATGCACCCACTCCTCCTTTGCCCTCAAATCAGTAAAGGAAGAGTCCCCAGAAAGAGACCCTGCAGTGGGACTGTGGCAAAAGGATGTGCCGACACCTGTGAGGAAGTCCAGGGGTCTGCATCTGGAACACGGGGAAGAAGCTGGAATCACGGAATGATATCTCAAAATTACCCCGTGACATTACCTATTGCTCCAGGCACCCCTCTACTACCAAGGAATCTCTCAATTTTTCTTCCCTTTCCAGGGGAGACTGGGATACTCAGAGGCCAACCGCAGGGCTGGGATCTCTGATGCTCAAGCCCCCCATTTCCTTGTAGCCCAATGGCGTCCCCGGCTTGTAATGAAGCAGACAAATATATTCCAATCTGATTTCTAATAGCACAGCCAAGGTGACTGGGTAAATAATCCGCCAGACTTTCCTCACATCAAGAGCAATCATTATTATTATTGCAATTATCATTATTACTATGACTAGTGTGGACCTTTCATGCTTTCCATCTGAACAGCCACTTATCACTGCCTGCCTGAGGTTTCCATACAGGGCAAAAAAATTAACTGCCACTTAATATATTTCCATATAATTAATGTACCCGCCTCCCAGTACGATGGTTAAACATCCACAGGAGTATTCTCACATGGTTCTGGGTTTGGAATTCTTTCTTCCCCGACGTATGGTGGTGATGGGGGTTGGGGGAGGGATCAGTTCTGTTTTTTTAAGAATTTCCCAAGAAAATATCCTAACTGCCAGGTTTTAAGAGTTCAGTGGGAAATAATAAGACAGTTTTCCAGCCTGAGTGTGTATCTACTGGGATATCTCCCCTCTTACTTTCACTACTGTCTTGGGAAGCAACAGAGGGTGTGTTCCATTTCTTCTCACGATCCTTACACTCTCCTAGTGGGTTTCAATCTTTGATTTGTGATCTAAATCAATTTCTACCCTTTTCTTTTAGATACCATGAATACTCAAAAGGAAGCTATGCCTAGTGTGTAGATTCTCTGTCTAGCTAAACGTGGTTTTGGGCCAGGTATGGTGGCTCCTGCCTGTAATCCTCCCAGCACTTTGGGAGGCCGAGGTGGGTGGGTCGCTTGAACCCAGGAGCAACATGGCAAACCCAGTCTCTACAAAAAAATACAAAAATTGCCAGGTGTGGTGGCATGCTGTAGTCCCAGCTACTAGGGAGGCTGAGGTGGAAGAATCACTTGAGCCTAGGAGGCAGAGGTTGTAGTGAGCCGAGATCATACCACTGCACTCCAGCCTGGGCAATAGTGTGAGACCCTGTCTCAAAAAAAAAAAAAAAAGTTTTTGGCTTCTAAAAAAGTAAAGCACCACTCACTGATGAAAAGCTCTAATACACATGGGTTTATGCAGCACCTACCCACTCCCAACCAAAGAGGTGAATACTGGGAAATGAGAGAGCTTGCAGGGAGCCCAGCTGCCTTTTGGCCTGGCTCTTGCCTTTACACAAGGCAATCCCCAGACTACATAGAAATTCATCTCTGTTTACTCTGAGCTGTAGGTTTGTAAGCAGGAAATGCATAAACCTACCATCCTCAAGAACAAGGGCATCTGAGAGGGAGCTGTCTTCACTGGCAATGTTTCCATCTGAGAAGACAAAAAGCAATAGCCTATGAGTTCAGCACATTCCTTCAGCAAAGCCCTATCTGTAAAAATAGCATGTCTACTACCACCTCATACCTTTCTCTTCCTAACCAGAAACAACCCACCAGATACAATAAAAATGCTGTTGGGTGTTTCTTTTGTCAGTCCCCGTGGTGGGTCATTGGCTCAGCCTCCCCACCCCGACACTGCCATGTGCCCATGTGCCCTAGCCTTTGTGTGTTTGTGCCCCGGTTTCATAGAATACTGCAATGCAGAGTGGCTTCATACCGAATATAAAGGCTGCCCCAGCCTGATTAAACCACATCATTGTCCCTGCACAAACCCAGGGCGTGTACCAGCAAAACCAAAGGACGCAAACTGCTTTTGATTCTACAAATGCGAAACCAGGGTAGGCACTTTGCTTTGCTTCTGTGGCAATAAATGGCTTCTCAATAAACTTTGTAAGTCATTAGTAGAGAAAACAAGCGTGCTAAATACAGGCTCCATCTCTCCAAAGCTTATTTTTATAGATGCCATTCAATTAACCGGGAGAACACACCCAAAAGGGAGATGGTAAAATAATCCTCCCTGTTTCACTGCTGGGGAAACTGAGGGGTAGGAAGGGAAGAGTGGTTTGTCCGAGGTGGTTTTGCTCTCCAGCAATGTGAGCAAAGGTCCCAAGTCTTCAGATTCCAAGTTTGGTGTTTTATCTCTAAAATAATACGCTAAGGAACTAGCAAGAACCTTAATTACTCCTCTAGTTCAAGTGGGTCCTTGGATGTTTCTATAGGAAACATGTTTCTGTTGGGAACCCCTAAGTGCCTTGGAGGGGGCAGAGGGTCTCAAATGGAGTGTCAGAAAGAGGTTGGCTGAGGGAGCTTTACTAGGAGGTAGGGGAAAAGTTGTGTGGTCTTGGCCAAGGACAACAGGATGAGATAGGGAAAGATGGTCATTCCAAATTTCCTAGAGCAAAAGAATTTTAAAAAATTCTCTTTTTAACTAGAAATTCACTTTATTTATGTTGCATGATGGACTATGAGCAACCAGGAGCTCTGACTTCGGCATCTTGGAATCTTCAGCACATCACTGCTACGCTAGGATGCTCACGAGTTTAGGCTGCAAATCTGCATCTATCTATATTTATCTATCTATGTAATTGTGGTGAAATATATATAACATCACATTTACCATGTTAACATTTTTTTTTTTTTCAGAGATGAGTCTTGCTATATTGCCCAGACTGGCACGCATGGTTACTCACAGGTATAATCATAGTGGACTACAGTCTCAAACCTCTGGCTCAAGTAATCCTTCTGCCTCAGCCTCCTGAGTAGCTGGGACTATAGGTGCATGCCAACATGCCCAGCTTAACTATTTTTTTGTTTGTTTGTTTGAGATAGAGTTTCGCTCTTGTTGCCCAGGCTGGAGTGCAATGTCGCAATCTCAGCTCACTGCAACCTCTGCCTCCCAGGTTCAAGCGATTCTCCTGCCTCAGCCTCCTGAATAGCTAGGATTACAGGCATGCGCCACCACGCCTGGCTAATTTTTGTATTTTTAGTAGAAACACTTTGGTCAAGCTGGTCTTGAACTCCCGACCTCAGGTGATCCGCCCGCCTCAGCCTCCCAAAGTGCTGGGATTACAGGTGTGAGCCACCTCACCCAGCCCCAGCTTAACTATTTTTAAGTGTACAGTTCATTGGCATCAAGCACATTCCCATTGTTGCGTAACCGTCACCACCATCCATCTTCTGTTTGAATAATATTTTCATGTTTCCAGACTGAAACTCGGTATCTATCAAGCAGTAACTCCTCATTCCCCTGTCCCCTAAGCCCCCTATAGTAACCACTATTCTACTTTCTGTCTTTCTAGAGCAAAGGTATTTTAAACACACATACCTTTATGTGTGTTTAGGAGGAAAGAATGCTTGATATATATTTTCAAGAATTCACTGACTTAGACAAGAAGGATTCTAACAGTTTAGGGGACTTGATGCTTTGTGGGTGGATTTTGGGGGATTTCCTTCTAGAATTTACCAAAGGTCATCACCCAAATTCCTAACCCATGACTGGAGCTCAGGGTTCCAGATAATCAGATGGTCCAGTCTCCCCAAGCTTCAGCTCTTGGGATAGGAGGCCCCTGGCAGCATAGGGGTCAGTGGGTTGGCGGGGGCCGCTCGAAGACAGGGATCACTGCTGCTGTGTACCCCAGCCCCACCTGTCCTTCCAGACTTGAGTAGGGGTGGTCAGGTCCCTGAGAGTGTCAGAGCCTGGTCTAGCCCAGTCAACTCAGCTCAGTTCACAGTAAGGGCTGAGAAGAATGCTAGCTCCTGGCTGCAGGTTCTCCCAGGGAGGAAACCAATAGTGATACCAACAGTTTGATTCGTACAATCCCTTCATCTGTGTCTGAGTCCACTTGGTTTCTCTCATGTGGGATCAGGCCTTACTCGCTTCATTTTATGGATGGACAAATGAAGGCAGCGGACAGTTAGGCAGCTGCTCAGGTCGTGCAGGGACCACTCGTGGGACCTGGCGTCTGGTTGCCGGGGCCCGGGCGTGGGAGTGGGGTGGGGGCAGCCCGGTTGGCACTGACCGTCTATGATCAGCGAAGCCCTCTGGGTGGGTTTCTTCCCAGACTTGATGCGGTTCTCATTGATTGCATTTTCAATCTCCTGCAGTTTCTTCAGTGCATTCAGATACGAGGTTTTCCTTTGTTTCTTCAGTTTTTTGCTGACGTTGGGGTCACTGGCTAGGCGGCGGGCGGCCTCCGTAATCTGGGACTGAATGGCAAACTCTCGTTCCAGGCGTTCCAGCTCAGCTTCCTGTGGGAGGGAAAGCACCGGTTTGGGTTACTGGGGATGCTGAGCAGGGAGACCCTCATCCTTCCCTCCCCTGTCCCAAGGCAAGTCCAGTTCCATGGGAGACACTCTTAAGAGTAGCCCCACTCCTAAAATCTGCACCCACTGAAGTCCCCAGGCACACCCACTGTTGTAACCCTTGCTCCTGTTACTTTCTGAAGACAAGTGTTGGTGTGAACGCTGCCGCCATCGCTGAGAACAGAGTTCCCACGATGCAGGTTTAGGGATCGCTTGGCTGTGTTTCGACTGTCTCCAGCAAGGTTCATCAAGACAAACCAAAGCCTTTGGAGAGATTCAGAGCCCAAGTGACTGTCACTTCCTTTCCATTTTGGATGTAGGATGCAGCAGGATTTTTAGTTTCTTTATGCCATTCTTCTCTGTGGACTTGCTACCAAGGAGCTCACACACATGAGCTAATGCACGGGCCTCTGACTCTCACACTGTGTGCCCCTCACGTGTGCCTAACTCACAGGCCTCTGACTCACATATCTTGTCTTTCCCTGTACCCCCACTCACCCGCGTGTCTTTCGGGAGCTTTTCTTTTCTTTTCTTTTTTTTTTTTTTTTTTTGAGATGGATCTTGCTCTGTCACCCAGGCTGGAGTGCACTGGTGCAATCTCTGCTCACTGTAACCACTGCTTCCCAGGTTCAAATGATTCTCCTGCCTCAGCCTCCTGAGTAGATGAGATTACAGGCACCTGCCACCACACCTTGCTAACTTTTGTATTTTTAGTAGAGATGGGGTTTTACCATGTTGGCCAGGCTGGTCTCGAACTCCTGACCTCAGACTATCCTTCTGCCTTGGCCTCCCAAAGTGCTGGGATTACAGGTGTGAGCCACCATGCCCGGCCATGGGAGCTCATTTTGCAAGCTCTGGCTGTCCCTCCCCCATCTGCCTATTCATGTATACTCTGCTAGGCTACAGCCGGGCCCTTCAAGGGGCACAAATGGACAGTGGGTGGTGGTGGAGGCAGTCCCCCTCCCACCCCACCCCCCCAGCTCACTTGATGTCCTTCCCCTCTTTTTACTGTAGCTCCCTCCCACCTCTATTCTTCCTTTAGCCAAGAAGTACGGATGGATGAGATTCTCCTCAGAGTTTTGGGACCGGGAAGAATGAAGCTGTGGCTGTCAAAAATGCCTGGTGGACCTAGCGGATGACACCTAGACAGCATGTTTGCTGCTGTCCTCTATGCTGACCAAGCCTCTCCTCTGCAGATGTATGTACACCAGCTGCTGAGGGATGGGGGGAGGTAGCTCATGCATGTGTGCGTGAGGATTTGGGGATGAATGCGGAATCCCCCGCAAAGCGTCAGATTGTTCATTTTTCTATTTCCTCTCTTCTCTAGTAAAACCCCTCCGGATCAGAGCTAGCTCTAAACAGCACCTTGTCGGTTGAGATTTTGAGCAACAGGGTCCTGCAAGGTGGGCATATTTGGCAGCCTGAAGGAGAGGTAGAATATTTGCCTAACCCCACAGCTAGTAAACCCAGGACAAATGCATCGGCAGCTTCTCAAGGCCAGGGAGAGAGAGCACACATCTTGCCCTAGGAAATTCACAGACACGCTGAAATTTGATGGGAACTGATCTAGCCAAATAGGAGGAGATCAATTGTTTGCTAGAATCAACAGATCTTCCTGTTTAGTTGCTCAGTAAAATATCCTTGCCTCTGGGCACAATGCACCAAGCTGGAGGATGCCATCAAGGAGAAGTTCTTTGCCTGATCTCATTGACTTTTGAGCACTTTAAGCCTAAAGGGAGCAGGAACAAGAAGCGAGAGGAAAAGGTGAAGGTTAAAGAGAACTATTTCGGAGATAATAAACTCCTTCTGAATCCTGCCAAGGCTGGCTGCGCTGTTGTCTCAGAGGGAGAAGAATATCAACATGGACTCCTGCCTGTGGTCTTGAAATAGGCAAGTCACCAAGGGACAAAGACTGTTCTGTGAGTTTGGGCTCCCTGGGGCAGCTGTTCCTGAGCTGTTACAATGGCCCTGGCACCAGACACTGATTCAGAGTTTTGTGGGGAGCCCAGGACAAATTCTCACTATTTAAACTAAGACAAGTCCAAGGCTGAATGCCCTGTCCATGCAAATGTCTGCCTGTTATATGAATAGGGAAGCAAAGTGCGTTTCCAGGAGCCACAGTAGAGACCAGGTGATCATCTCATGCTTCCCAGAGGAACCCCGCAGAATGCCAGCTGCTCCTGTGTTGGTTCCTTTTACGAACTTAGGAAAGATCATGTGTGGGGACAGGTAAGGAAGCACATGGCTAGGGCATTCTCAGGGAGCTAAAGTCCCGCGGTACTGAGATGCGTGAAAGGTGTGGTGGGACTCTGGGAAGACCAAGGAGGGTGTTGGGGGAACTCCCTAAAAGTGGGGTCCCTTTTTAAAGCTTAAGGGCCAGGTATCTGCCCAGCAACAGGGGGAGTTGAAGTTCCTCCCTAGAGTGGCTCTGATGACCAGCAGGATTTGGAAATACCCGACCTCAATCCCTCCGTCCCCTGCAGTTCCTGCCTACGGTGTGGCACCCCTCCTTTGAGACTGCATCTCCCCTACAAGCAACTGTTTGCTGAGCATCACAAGTGCCAAGTACTGAGTGACGTGTTTTACATACACTGGCTCATTCAATCCCAGGGACACCCCAAGAAGTAAGGGCTATGAGCTCCATTTTACAGACCAGGAACTGCCTAACTGAGCTTTAGTTTTTTTTTTTTTTTTTTTTTTTTTTGAGACAGGGTCTCTGTCACCCAGGCTGGAGTGCAGTGGCGCAACCTTGGCTCACCGCAACCTCCGACTCCCGGGTTCAAGCGATTCTCACCTCAGCCTCCTGAGTAGCTGGGATTACAGGCATACACCACCATGCCTGGCTAATGTCTGTATCTTTTTGGTAGAGATAGGGCTTCACCATGCTGGCCAGGCTGGTCTCGAACTCCTGACCTCAAGTGATCTGCGCACTCTGGCCTCCCAAAGTGCTGGGATTTTGCAGCGAAAGGCGTGGGCCACCACGCCCGGCCACATGAGCTTTAGTTTTAATTGAAGCACATTGGTGTGTCTGCCAGTGTCCCAGGACCTGCCACTGCAGATCTCAGGAGATTCCTCTAACACAGATGGGCCACAAGCACATGGGTCCCTCTCTGAATTCACCCTCACCCTAATCCTACCTACCCCAGGTGTCCGTTTCTCCCAATCACTTTCTTAAAATACTAAAAATGTACAGCATTCCTTTTTCCCCTGGCTCTAAGTCCTGACCTTTTAAGGCCTCTGTTCAAGAGCATGTTAATTAGTAACTTCCTTCAGAAGAAATCTGGGAAAGCATTTCCTGGGCAGGAGCCCTGGGCCTGAGGGTATACCTGGCCTTTACTTTCTCTTGGCCTGAGGCTGGATTCTCATTAACCAGCCAGAGAGTCAAGTCTTGGTTTTGTTTGTTTGTTTGTTTGTTTTCTCCCCAAATCTGAAGTCTCCAGCCCCATCTTCACCCGTGTTCAGTCCAAAGGATGGACGTAGCTTCTCCAAACACAGACAAACAAGGCCAGGGCCGCCCAAGCATCCTGCACACATTCTTGGAGGGATGTGAGTAGCCAGGTGAGGCTATGACCACGGGGCGGTGGACCCTACTGGTCTCTCCCCAGCCAATGTACCCTTGCACCTGATGCCGTGGCCTAAGTTTTCCTTCTCTCGGCAGCTTTTCTTCCATAGATCACACATCAAGCTTGGCTCTCAGTCACTGAGGGCTGAGAGGCCATTACAAAGCCAAATACACGTGAATGCTACTGGAATGTTTTCCCCAAGCTCAACGTGGCTGCTTGCGCTAGACCCACAGCGTCAGACAAGCAACTTCGACAGACACCCAAATGCCTGCAAATGCAAGCAAACTACTCCTACCGAGGGGAACCACATACTGACCGGCCAGCTCACTCAAGAAAAGGTATGAGCGAAAATACTGGCATTAGGCAGAAATGAAGAAATTGGTACAGAAAACCTGGAAGGCCTGACCAATGGGAAAAACAAGGATAACATGAGAGAATCCAACAACAGAAAGGAAGGACGCACCTCTCCTTTGGGCAGGATTTTCTGTTCATCCAGTTTGAAGGCTGTTCCTATTCTTCTCCGAACAATGGGTGGTTCCTCCCCTGGATCCAGGGGATATTCTACTGGCAGCTTGCCCGTGAGCTCCTGCATATGTGAAATGGCATTCGGAGTGAGCACAAATCAGAGTGGGGCGTGTCTGCTTCCTAGAACACACACACACGCACATACACGCACACAAAAATGCACGCATGCACTTCGATACAGGTCAACGCTTATGCTAGAAATGTTCACATTAAGCACTATGCCTAAGTAAGAGGTCAAGAAATGAAATTTCATTTCTCTAACAATGTCTCTTATGTAGAATAGTTGCACTTCCAAAGTTTTTTCCAAAGTAAATTTCTGTAATTGCCATTTGACTTTCATTATAAAACTTGAATTTCATTCATTTGTTAAGTGAACAGATATTTCCTGCCTGCCTCCTCTGTGCCAGGCAAGGTCACCCAGCCAGTGAGGAGCAGTGTCAGCGTGAGTTCTCGGGCCTCTCTAACTCCAAATCCCGTGCTCTTGACACTGCATCAAATATTCCTGCTCAAATATCTAAGTTTAAAGTTTCCTTCAAATGGATTTTCACAAGAGGAGTGGTATCTATATGGCAAATCCCAGAAAAGTGCATAGATAAATAATTTAGAAACTGAGTAAGGATAGTAACCTACTCTGGCCAGATGCTACAGGAATAGGCTGTACTTAAAAGACATTAAACTGTTTAATTTAAAAGTTTTAGTAGAATGGCTGGGCACGGTGGCTCATGTCTGTAATCCCAGCACTTTGGGAAGCCGAGGCAGGCGGATCTCTTGAGATCAGGAGTCCGAGACCAGCCTGGCCAACATGGTGAAACCCTGTCTCTACTAAAAATACAAAAATTAGCTGGGCGTGGTGGTAAGCACCTGTAATCCCAGCTACTTGGGAAGCTGAGGCAGGAGAATCGCTTGAACCCGGGAGGCGGAGGTTGCAGTGAGCCAAGATCATGCCACTACACTCCAGCCTGGGTGACAGATCGAGACTCTGTTTATTAAGGAAAAAAAAAGTTTAGTAGAAACTGAACATATAATCCATGTTATTGACAAGGCTACTAAAAAAACACTTGTTTTGTGTATTTTGGGCCCCGGAAATCTACTTGTTGTGGGTACAAGGACAGTGAATTTAGTTGACAGACTTCCATGGTGACAGTGATCCTGGTTAAAGGCTAAGGATCTGGGGGCGATTCAAGATTAGAATCAGGCTCTCTGTGAGTGAGTTGTATCAGGGCTGAACAATGATCAAATCAGAGTCAGTGGCTGCCCCACACTGTAGAGGCCAGGCATCAAATTCAAGAAGTCACTTCCAGAGACCAGAAAAGGCTGGGGGACCAACTGTGCATCTGTCTCTAATGGCAAAGTGGGCACTTCCAGGCCAAGCCCAGCTCTGGCTTTTCTAGCCCAAATCAACGCAGATGCTGCACAAAGACTGAAGGAGCTGCTCTGACAAGGAAGTTCAGGAGGCTTTTCTCAGGAATATCCATCATCTACACAGAAAGCTTTTGCGCAGGGCAGCCCAGGGCTGAGTGCCCAGCAGGCGGGAAAATCCAAATCATGAGAGTGTGATGCTGGCCCTTCTTCTCCAACTGCTGTGTGCACATGTGTACGCATGTATGCATGTGCAGGCATGGTGTGTGCATGTGTGTGCGTGTGTACATGTGTACACGTGACATGAGCATAAACACATACTCCGTCACTCGCCTGCTTCTCCCTCGCTGTGTTCAGATTGCCGGGAAATGACCCCGTGGACTTTATATTCCTCAATGTAAGCATTTCAGAGCACAATGGCCAACTATCTGAGTATCAGACTCTGCAATTTTCTTCCCTGGTTTTTTCTTTAAAAAAAAAATGTGGTTCAAATGTCTCCAAAGTAGTTAAGTGTTTATTCCGCAACTTTTTTTTAATCTGCTTCCCTAAAAGTCTATCTATAAGTAACACAACTATTGAGGGTTTTATATTGTCAGGACTTGATTTTTTTTTTTTACTTAGAAAATTCCAAAAAGGAGGGAAAAGTTGTTAAAATTGCCATGGATCTGTAACTCTAAACTGTTGGTGGTTTTAAAATGTAGTTTAAAAAATGAGGCTACTGATTTTTTTCACCATCCACTTGAAGGTATTTGAGTCGAAGTCTTGATTCTCCAGATATTTAATCTGATTTCATGTGTAACTGGAGCTGCACGCTGAAGACGTAATTTAACACTCTGCAGTGGGGCCTCGGCTTGGTGCCTCCCTATATCCTGCCAAATGCTCTCCCCCTCCATCATTCTAGTTGCCCCCCTCCCCAGGGGTCAAGCAGCGCGTCTTGATACTCTGAGCTGAGGGGAGAGATGCAGGAACAGCACAGATTTAGCAAGACCTCCCCCCAGCCCTTGACTACACATGCGTCAAGAGGCTATGGTGGGACTAACTATAGGGAATGATCACAGGAGAAATCTACCTGCAACTGATTTCTTGTTGGGTTATTTCTTCCACTCAAGTTACATTTTCTGGTGTTAACATTATAAGAAGTGGCAGCTTTGTTTTCCTTCTTTTGTTTTTGTTTTTAAGAGCGATGGTGAGATTTTTTTATAATGCATGCTCATCTTGCCCTGACATGTTCCTTACCTTTTTGAAACGTGGATTCCCTGCCGGGTTTAGGGACTTTTTATTAAAAACAAAACAAGGCTTTCCAAATTATTAAAGGCAGACACCCAAACTCATATTTTTTCCAATCCTTCAAGCGTATTCTTTATAAAAATGTTGCTAATATTAACAGTATCACATAGCGCATTCCCCAGCCAGGCCAATTGCTTTCCTAAGATTTGCAATGGATTTGTGCTAATGTGGTTCTGCTTTGAGCTGGCTCCGGTTTAAATCAATCCAGACCATAATTAAGCCAAGTTGAAATGTAATGTGATCTCACTCCACGGCCCCTTGTTTCATTCTTCCCGCTGCAAGGCCTTAGTGTTTGGGGGAGGGGTATACGTCTCTTTGACTTACTTTGGGAACCTCTTTTGACTTCCCATTCTCAACTGTTTACCGGCGAAGCTCTTTCTAAGGTTAGGTGGTGCACAGTTGCTCCTGCCCTGGAGAGCTCCCACCCCATTGTGCCCATGTGCACAATGCACACATGTGCATGCGTGCGCGCGCGCACACACACACACACACAGAGTCATGTGTATTGCATTAAAACATGAAGCCTTCAAACACTTCTAACAAATAGTCATGAAATAAACAGACAAAGGTGGAAATGGATATTTAAATAAATAAAGACAGCAGCTTGCAGCAACTTCTGTGAGACTAGCACATACATAGGGTCGAGAAAGCATTGCTTTTTTTTTTTTTTTTTTTTTTTTGAGACAGGGTCTTGCTCTGTCACCCAAGCTGGAGTGCAATGGCGTGATCACTGCTCACTGCAGTCTCAACCTTTCAGGCTCAAGCGATCCTCCTGCCTCACTCTCCTGAGTAGCTGGGACTACAGACACACACCACCACCTCTGGCTATTTTTTTGTAGAGACAGGGTCTCACTATGTTGCTCAGGCTAGTCTCCAACCCCTGGTCTCCAGTGATCCTCCTGCCTCAGCCTCCCAAAGTGCTAGTATTACAGGCATGAGCAGCTGTGCCCAGCCTGCATAAAATTTAAAAATGTCATTAGGCTAAGATTTCATTTTTTAAAATGAAAAAGCTAAACACCAGATCACAGGGTCTAAAGGTGACTATATACCAAGTGAGATCGTGGTTTCCTTGTTGACCACCAGTGTTTCTCAATAGGATGTCCAAAGACAAGTCTGAAATACCCTTAAGAAAGAACAAAAGCCACCACAACAATAAACTCAGGCACAAAATCTTGGGAGGATGGTGGCCAGCCATTATGATCGATGAGGCACTATCACGTGAGGAGATGCTTTATGAACCACCATGCAAGTATGAGGGATGAGGGATCATCATTGGGACTTGTCGCTTGGACTCCCATGGGGTCCTCTTTGGGATTTTGCCAGCACCAACTTTAACTGGTCATCACAGTGCTTCATCAACCAATTCTTTGATGGGTTTAGGGACTTTTTCTTTTGTTGAAAACAAAACAAGGCTTTCCAAATAATTAAAGGCACACACCAAAACCCATATTTTTTCCAACCCTTTAAGCATATTCTTTTAAAAAAATTCGCTAATATTAACAGTATCACATAGTGCATTTCCCAGCCAGGTCAACTGCTTTCTTAAGATTTGCACTAATGCGGTTCTGCTCTTTCTCTGACAAAGCACATTAGAGAGGTTTGGATGTTTCCAACATTTGTGTTTCAGGAGAGCGCTCGCCGCCCAGATAGGCCCTCTTTTTATCACTACCCTTGCCTTCTGTCAAAACGATCAAATGACATCAGTCAAATGACATCAAAAAGATCAAATGACATCAGAAAGATCAGTGACATCACAGACAACACCAATTTCAACGGGATGAGCTAGGAAAGGCTTACAGCTTCTCGGAGACACAGCTTCTTCAGTTCCTCCAGCCTCTGACGCAGGGTTTCCTCCAGAGCTTCCTGCCTGGACTTCAAGGCAGCCAGCATGTCCTTCTTGGCCGACTGCGAGCTATCTGATTCCTGAGAACCTGTCGATAAACAGTGGGGTTACTTGGCCAGCTGACAGGGGACACACATCTGGACCACTAATGAATTTAACTGGAGCCCATGCTGCGGAGATGGGATTTACCCCAGGAATCAAGGGAGTGTGAAATAAAACAGGTGCTCAGCACTCTAACTGTGAGAAGCACATTCCAGCACTGCATGGAATTTATAGCCAGTCACAAGAAATGGCAGGAAGATGGACCCTCCTGAAAAAGAAGTTTATCTTTCTCAATTATCTTAAGAAATGTCACATACCTTTTTAAATTTTACTAGCAAATTCTAATAGACTTTACACAAGAAAGGGGGAAAGAAAAGCTCATGTCAGCAATTTTAATACGTATTGAGTTATTTATCTTTGTTTGAGACAGTCTCACTCTGTCACCCAGCCTGGAGTACAGTGGCATGATCTCGGCTCGCTGCAACCTCCGCCTCCCAGGTTCAAGTGATTCTCGTGCCTCAGCCTCCCGAGTAGCTGGGGTTACAGGCATCCGCCACCACACCCGGCTAATTTTGTATTTTTAGTAGAGATGGGGTTTCGCCATGTTGGCCAGGCTGGTCTCGAACTCCTGACCTCAAGTGATCTGCCTGCCTTGGCCTCCCAAAGTGCTGGGATTCCAGGTGTAAGCCACCGTGCCCAGCCCTAAAACGTATTTAAAATGTTATTTTGTTCCCTTAAAAATACTTATTATTTTTGCTTAGTGCAAAGATAATGTGTGTTTATGATGAAAACCCTGAAAATGTAGACAGGTATAAGAAATAGTCCATTAACTAATCACCCAGAAATAACCATTGCTATGCATTTTCTTTTGGCCTTTTTTCTAAGTACATATATTTAAAAAATAAAATTAGAATGCTATTGTATTTTTTAACTTCATGTTTTGTATCATGAGCAAATTCCCTCCTAATAAAAGTTATACATATTTTAACATACTTTTCCTGGGTAAAACATGATGATTCAAATAGCAGAGTGCTCGATAGGAAACCTTGTGGAAGGCAAACTTCAAACCAAACCAAAGGAAAATAAGCTGAAATGCCATCTGGAGGAATTTAGGTTAGACCAAAGGAGTAATTTCTGGGCTGCCAGTGTTTGGATTCTGAAATAACTTTCCTGGAGTGAAGCTATTGTACTTTTTCTACCTTGATGGGTTAGAAAAGGAACACTGACTCTCTACAAAGGGAAAAGCTGATTATAACTTTTCTTTTCTTTTTCTTTTTTTTTTCAGACAGTTTCACTCTTGTTGCCCAGGCTGGAGTGCAGTGGCACCATCTCGGCTCACTGCAACCTCCGCCTCCTAGGTTCAAGAGATTCTCCTGCCTCAGCCTGCCAAGGTAGCTGGGATTACAGGCACCCGCCACCACACCCAGCTATTTTTTTTTTTTTTTTTTGTATTTTTAGTTGAGACGGGGTTTCACCATGTTGGCCAGGCTGGTCTTGAACTCCTGACCTCAGGTGATCCACCCGCCTCAGCCTCCCAAAGTGCTGGGATTACAGGCATGAGCCACCGCGCCCAGCCGATTACAACTTTTCTTTGCAAGCCCATCGTGAGCAGAAGTGTTAGAAACGGACAGGTGTTAGAGGCTGTGCATTCAAGGGGCTCACACCATGCCATTGACAACTGCATCAAAGAACTTCAAATACCTAGGGAGATTAATCTAATTAAAGATGAGCAAGATCTCCACCGCGAAAACTGTCCTAAAGACCTAAATAGACAGAAAGATACACTGTGGTCAAGGATTAGAAGCTTGATGTTGTAAAGATGTCCATTCTCCATCAATCAATGCAATCCCAGTAAAACCTTGGCAGGACTTTTGGTAGGAAGATGAAAAAATTCTATTTCCATAGGAAACAATGGATTTTTTGGACAATTTTAGTAAACAGATGAGAGAATAATCCAGTCAGAATTCCCAGAATCCACAGTTCTGTTTCTTCCAATGGTAGAAAAGGCAATGCAGCATCATAAAGCTAGAAAGAACTTCTGTCCCGTGGCATCAAACAGCTCTGCTTCACTTAAATTGTCCCCATAAATATACTATTCTTCTATTTAACGTCTCTGAGCAGAAAACCCTGCATTCCATCAATTACCATACATACAGGCTCTTACTACCCTAATCACCAAGAACTCTCAATGTCTAAGAACATTTTAACTCTAACATGGGTTTTGTTCTTTCCCTTGCCTCAATTTGAGCTTGAAATAGAGAATATATCTGTCACCGCAGAAACATACTATCATTATGCCTCCAAAGCAGCTAACAAATATTAGCTTGAATGAACAACCAAATAAATGTTCACAGTCATATACTTGGATGCTATAATTATCTCCTCTTCATAACAAAAATCTAATACCTGTAATTTGTTCCATCGTGGAACCTACCTTCCGAGCTTTGAATTATTTTCGTAGCTGTTTCCTGGATTTTGACATACTTCAGTTGCAGGTCTCCAAATGCAACTGGACACAAGAAAGCTTCATCCGTGACCTCATGGTTCTCAGGTACTAAATCCATATAGTGTCATATTCACACAGCACATCGCTGAACATTATTGCAGGTTCCCCTTTTTGAAATGGTTCAGGTTTGCTCTCTCCATAAGCCAATCACCCTGTGCTTACCAATCCTAAATTGTCTCCAGTTTATGTCCCTCCAAGGTTACATGGCTAAATCATTGTGACTCTTAATCTGGTTCTCTTAGTAACAGTCACCAATCACATCTGAAGACTCAGGAACATTTACTGAAGTACTCCGTTTCATCATTGAAAGAATTAATAAGAATGTAAAACAATACTGGAAGGAAGTCAGACTTTAGATTTAAAAAACAGACCTAGAGAAACTTGGGTCCAAGAAGATTAAAGGATTTCTAGCTCAAGTGAAAAATTCATTGTTTTCCCTTTCACCCCTGCCTAACCTCTCAATAGGAAATAATGATTTATTAAGTCCAATCTAAGAATTAACTGTGTTCTGGAATGGCACAAATTACAAATGAAACTCAAGGGAGGTAAAGCACACAGTTTTTGGATGATCATGTTGCTAGTTATGGGATTAGTTAAGATTTGGCCCTGAGTTCCAGGGCTCATTAATGCTACCCAAATTATTATCATTTCCAATAATTAGCCTAGATACCAAGCCCACAGAAAACAGGCAAGAAAGTCCTGGCAGACTAGATGGCTCAAGAGCCCCTCTCTGTATCCGCTAATGCTGGTTGGCACCACTAATGCTGGTTGGCTCCGTTTCATGCCATTAGCCTGGGAGTTACTTCAGGGCGAAGATGGTGTCTGGGTACCAGGTCAAATCCCCGCAAAATCACTGAGCCAGCCTGCCTTGGACATGCAGATTTCCACTGTGGCGGTAACTGGATGGTGGATAGAGGGTAAAACAGATCTGAGTTTGATAAAGTCAGAACCACTCACTGGATGTGTGGCCTTGGGTAAGTTACCTGCCCTCCTTAATTCATAAAGGCTGAATGAGAAAACACATCTCCAGCACTTTGCACTGGGCCTGGAATAGGTCAACCCTCAAACTAGGGCAGGTTGAACATGAGCATGTGTGCGCACGCGCACGCACACACGTCCTAGTAGAATTAGAAAGAGAAATCATTGCAACTGCCTCTTCACTGTTGCTCAATGAAGTATCGGTCAAAGAGCTTCGTACCCAATTCAGTGTAACACTTGAGGTCCAAAGCTCACCTTTAGAAAGGAACAATACGAACTAGGCAGTGTTTTCTTTAAAAAAATTTTTTTAATTGGCACATAATATGGGGTGCACATTGATGTTTTGGTACATATAATGTATGGTAATCAGATCAGGATAATTAGCATATCCATTATCCAAACATTGATCATTTCTTTGGGTTGGAAATACTCAATATCCTCCCTCTAGCTATTTGAAGCTATACAATACCCTACTGTTAACTATTAACATCCTACAGTGCTATAGGACACTCGAACACATTCCTCCTACCTCACTGTAATTTCTGTCCTACAACAAATCTCCCCCATCACCTACTCTCTCTACCCTTCCCAGCCTCTAGAAACTTCTGTTCTACTTTATACTTCTATGAGATCCACTTTTAAAAAACACATAGTGTTATGGCTGGGCGCGGTGGCTCACGCTTGTAATCCCAGCACTTTGGGAGGCTGAGGCAGGTGGGTCACGAGGTCAGGAGGTCAAGACCAGCTTGATCAAGATGGTGAAACCCCATCTCTACTAAAAATACGAAAAAAAAAATTAGCTGGGCATGGAGGTGGGCACCTGTAATCCCAGCCAGTTGGGTGGCTGAGGCAGGGAATTGCTTGAACCCGGGAGGCGGAGGTTGCAATGAGCCGAGATTGGTCCACTGCACCACAGCCTGGGTGACAGAGTGAGACTCTGTCTCAAAAAAAAAAAAAAAAAAAAAAAAAAAAAAAAAAATATATATATATATACACACACACACACACACACACACACACACACACACAGTGTTCACAAACGATGTTTCCTGAGTCCCTGGGTTAGCAGCTAGGTCTTTGGGGCAGCTATGGTTGGAGGTGGGGTCAAGGAGGTTCTGTGGCTATTCTTATCCTATTCCACTCCACGTTCCTCAAAACAGAGCAGCTCCCCGTGAACCTGCTGCATGTATTCAGGTTGCCGTATTGTAACGAAAAGAGGTTCCCATTGCCTTTTTTGTCTTTAGGAAATCCACTGTTCTGGGGCAAGGGCTCGGAGCTTTCACCGCTGCTCTACCTCAGGGCTTGTCTGATCTGAGCCTGCGGGCTGCTACCTGCAACTAAGCAAACGTGGCCACCAAGGCAAGAGGTGGCCGAGTGCCCAGTGACACGGACACACCAGCAACATTCCACAGAAGCAGCTCAAAGGGCGTCAGGAGAGGGAGCCCAAAATGCCCTCTGATATTGATCTGCTTTCCCACGTCCTCCACAAATGCCCACTAGGCATCCACTGACCCAGCAGGTTGGTTTTAAAAGGGAAGAAGGAAAGAAGCTACAAGACAGGGAGAAATCAAGAGGTGGAGGTTCACTCTCACTGCCTGCCTTGATGCCCTCAAGTGACAGAATGACTCCAGGAAGAAATTGAGGCAGGGCAGAGCCTTAGGGCTCAGGGAAATGGGACTGTCAAAAACTAAAAGCTGGTCACAGTGGCTCACACCTGTAATCCCAGCACTTTGGGAGGCCAAGGAGGGAGCATCCCTTGAAGCCAGGAGTATGAGACCAGCCTGGGCAACATGGTGAGACTCTGTCTCTACAAAAACAAAACCAAACCAAAAATTCTAATTTCAAATCAGCACCTAGGCTTATGCTGATTTATCCATTTTCAGTTATTTGAACACATATATGCTTTTGCAAGTGCAAACCTCTTTGAGGTTGTGTTTAGCCCCTTGGAAATTAAAAAAAAAAGGGCTGGGTGTCGTGGCTCATGCCTATAATCCCAGCACTTTGGGAGGCCGAGGTGGGCAGATCAGGAGGTCAGATTTTGAGACCAGCCTGGCCAACATGGCGAAACCCTGTCTTCTACTAAAAATACAAAAATCAGCTGGGCGTTGTGGCATGCACCTGTAATCCCAGCTACTTGGGGAGCCGAGACAGGAGAATCGCTTGAACCTCGGAGGCGGAGGTTGCGGTGAGCTGAGATGGCGCCACTGCACTCCAGCCGGGGTGACAGAGCGAGACTCCATTTAAAAAAAAAAATTTAAAAAAAAGTTTAAAAAAAGGATATAGGCTGGGCGCAGTGGCTCATACCTGTAATACTAGCACTCTGGGAGGCTGAGGTGGGAGGACTGCTTGAGGCTAGGAGTTCAAGACCAGCCTGGCCATAGTGAGACCCCTGCTCTACTAAAAAAAAATTAAATGATCTAAATCTGCTATCATGGAGAGAGGGTGGTGACTGGAGGGAAAGACACTGGATTTTCATCACATATCTGCCATTAAATGGTGTAACGCCTTGAGTTACTAATCTCATGGTTCCATCTATAAAATTACCAATTGACCCATCTCTAAGATTCCTCAAACTGAATTCACTATTACTCAATAAACAACTTACTCGGATAGTTCCCTCGTGCCTCTAGCAGTCATTTTTGCAATTTTTACAACAGGCATCTTATACACAGCACAATCTTCCCTCCCCTTTTTCTCTACCTTCCTAACTTCTAGCCTTCTGCCAGTGCTGCTCTCATTTCAGTTACTGCTACAGCCTCTCCCGGGCTGGAAGGGTGTGTCTCATCATTAACCAGTGCCTAAAGGATTTACTGCTTCATCAACAGACCGAAGCAAATATTTGTAAACTCAAAAGCTAAACAGAGTTTAATCTGAGCTGTCTCTGGGATTAATGAAGTAGAAGATGGATGGAACCTCTTTATTCTAGGTAGAAGGGCGAGATTTCAAAGGTTATTGATTGAGAAAACAGTAGCTAAGTGCTACCTGGAAAGGGTTGTCCAAACATGAGTTGGTGTAGGAGTCAAGGGGAAAACAGAGGTGATCTCAATACGGTTTGTGAAAGGCACATATATATATGTATGTATATATGTATATGTGTATATATATATATTTTTGTAAAGTTTCAGGCAACACTCAGATTTATTAGAGTATTCTGAATATTCTTTAGAAGACACAAACTGTTATGTAGCTTCCTCTAAAGCCAAAGCTCACACCAGTGGTTTTGAGGTAATAGGGCTGGGTGTGTGTTCCAGCACTGCCGTTTACCAGCTGTGGGGACTTGGGAAGGTTGTGTAACCTCTCGAAGTCTGTTTCCTCCCCTGTAAAATGGGAATGAAAACAGGACTTCTTCAGAAGTTGGGAGAATTAAAAGAGAACGCTTAGAAGATGCTTGGAAGAGAGGTGAGAATATATTAAGTGTTACATGAATACCAGTTACTCTTTCTATTAAAAAGTGAGGCTGGGGTGGTGTCTCACACCTATAATCCCAGCACTTTTGGGAGGCTGAAATGGGAGGACTGCTTGAGGCCAAGAGTTTGAGACCATCTTGGGCAACATAGCCAGACCTTGTCTCTACAAAAATTAAAAAAAAAAATTAGTAAGGCGTGGTAGTGCATGCCTGTGGTCTCAGCTACGCTGGAGGCTGAGATGGGAGAATTCCTTCAGCAGAGGGTGTTGAGGCTACTGTGAGCTGTGATTGCGCCACTGCACTCCAGCCTGGGCAACAAAGCAAGACCCCGTCTGAAACCCTCCCCCGCCACTATTCCTAGCCTTTACTAGGAGTCTGCACCCCAATTCAGAGAGCTTCAAAATGTAGATGAGAAAGTCCATTTCGTGGACAAGCAAGGAAACGTAGAATGCTTGCAGATGTACCACCCACCGTGGCCACATCAATTCAGGAAGCTCAGGAGGAGAAGGGTAAGGAAATGAGTTTTTAGAGAACTCCTAAACAGGAGCTTCCTACCTGCTGCACTTCATTGAATCCTCACAGAGACATCATTCCCATTTTCTTTCTTTCTTTTTTTTTTTTTTTTTTTTTGAGACAGAGTCTCGCTTTGTCACCAAAGCTGGAGTGCAGTGGCCTGATCTTGGCTCACTGCAACCTCCACCTCCCGGGTTCAAGTGATTCTCCTGCCTCAGCCTCCTGAATAGCTGGGACCACAGGCACACGCCACCACGCCCGGCTAATTTTTATATTTTTAGTAGAGATGGGGTTAGTAGAGATATAGTATGTTGGTCAGGTTGGTCTTGAACTCCTGACCCTGTGATCCACCTGCCTCGGCCTCCCAAAGTGCTGGGATTACAGGCGTGAGCCACTGCGCCTGGCCTCCCATTTTCATAGAAAAGGTCACAGAGTCATAAGGAGGCTGAACTGGGAGTCTAACTCTGCTATTCTGTCTTCTGCCTCTTGCATAAAAACTCAACACGGGTAGGAGCTTTCTGTCTTGATCTCAGCTGGGCTGCCCTGGTAAACCTGTGTAGAAAGCAGTCACATCGACTCCCAAGTGGGGGCTCTTTGCGTGATAGTGCAAGCATCAAAACCTAAGAGAAGGAAGCAGGGCAGGGGCTCTTTGGATCACCCAGGCTGGAGTGCAGTGGCGTGATCTCAGCTCACTGCAACCTCCGCCTCCTGGGTTCAAGTGATTCTCCTGCCTCAGCCTCCCATGTAGCTGGGATTACAGCGCGCCACAACGCCCGACTAATAGAAGCCTCTGGAGCCCCTTCCACGTGCACGGTGGTGTGGGAGAGACACGAACAGCAGACATGCATCCAGTGCTCAGACCTGCCTGCCGGGAGGCAGAAGAGAGCAGGCCACAAGAATAGGCCGGGCCTGGTGGCTTTCACCTCTAATGCCAGCACTTTGGGAGGCCCTGGCGGGAGGATTGCTTAATGCCAGGAGTTTGAGACTATCCTGGGCAACACAGCGAGACCCTATCTGTAAAAAAAAAAAAACAAAAAATAAAAAAATTAGTTGGATGTGGTGGTAAACGCCTGTAGTCCCAGCTGCCCAAAAGGCTGAGGCAGGAAGATCCCTTGAATCCGGGAGTTTGAGAGTACACTGAGCTATGCTCACACCACTGCGCTCCAGCCTGGGTAACAGAGTGAGACCCTGTCTCTAAACAGACAAAAAAAAGAATGAGACAGGTAGTAGTTGCCGTAGAAGGTGGAAGGTGGAACCCACAGCCGGGAGCTAACTGGGTAATTAACGTGAATTGTAGCTGGTCACATCCAGTTTTTTTTTTTTCTTTTTGAGACGGAGTCTCACTCTGTCGCCCAGGCTGGAGTGCAGTGGTGTGATCTCAGTTCACTGCAACCTCTGCCTCCTGGGTTCAAGTGATTCTCCTGCCTCAGCCTCCCGAGTAGCTGGGATTATAGTGCGCCACCATGCCTGACTAATTTTTCTATTTTTAGTAGAGATGGGGTTTCACCATGTTAGCCAGGCTGGTCTCCAACTGCTGACCTCAAGTGATCTGCCCGCCTTGACTCCCAAAGTGCTGGGATTACAGGCGTGAGCCACTGCACCCAGCTGGGTGACTTTTTTTATTGCCTCTCTGAGAAGGTTAAGCCTGCCTCTGAATTATTGTCAGGAAAACAGTGTCATCAGGTCAGTTCTCCAGCAAAAAATCTTTCCTCCCAGTTATCGGGAGGAAATGATCTACTTGAATGATACTAAAGATAGAATCTGTTGTTTTTGGCGACCTTATGAGCACATTTCAATCCTAATCCAAAGGATTTTCATTGAACTAGTTCACTAATAATCTGGCCAACGAGGAAGACAAAAAGGGCTGACCCTAAAAAGACAATTCCCATCCAAGCAGAGAGAGAGATGGAGTTACTCACGCCAAGTCAGAAAGTCATTTTCGGGGGCATTTGGAAATCTTTGGAGTGAACTTCCCGATGCTATGAACATTGTTTGAGACCCTGGAGACACTGCCTGTGTCACTGTGGGTTTCCCAGCTTCCAGCCGGGGAACTCCAGACTCCAGCCGGGGACAGCTGGGTGTGGAGGAGCGGATGTGGAGGCAACGCCAGCAGCACAAACAGCAGCTCTCCTCCCGGCCGGCAGACACATGGAAGGACAGCCTCTTTCAGCCTCATTCAGCCGCGAGCCAGAAATGCTCCAATTGTTCAGAAGACCCTGGGCGACTCAGCACCGGATATGAGCGCACATTCTGCCAGGAGGACGTTGTCAGGAGCCACGCGTGGCTCATCTGTTTTTGACACAGAGGGGATATTGATGACCAGCCACTGATTTCAGAAGACAGAGAAGGGGTGCTTTCCTCTCTGGAAGGAGGGGAAACTTCAAAGCAAACAATGCTCCAAAGAAGAAAGGAATCGGTTGTTCTAGAACTAAAGAAGGGAAATGACAATCCGTCTCTTTAGACCTTAGAGAAAAAAAAAAAAAAATGAAGAAGGCGGTATATTCCCAGCAGATCAGTAAAAGCTGTAAGGAAAAGTTTTGGCAGACATCCCAGGAATAAATATGAGGAAAAGGTTAGAATTCTTCTTTATGATAAAAAGATATTTATTTCCTTGACAAATCCTCAGTGATGAATTCCTTACATAAAAGATGTCCCAGGAGACCACGGGAAATAATGCCACATTGCAGACTGCAGGATAAACGTGTCATCTCTGGGGACTGTTATAGAGAATTAGATGTGATTTTTAACATGAAAAAATGCATGCTTGGAGAACTTTTCATCAGGCTTAGAAATTTTAGAAATAAAATAGTTCATTTCAGAGAGCATTGAAATTGAAGCTCTTTGAAAACCAAGCACCTTTTGATGGTGGCTGGGAGTCTCTGGAAGAGCTTTGCTTTCTGGCTAGATTCCATGGCTCACTGGCACTCGGTGAAGAGTGCAAATGTAATTTAACAGAGAGAGAGGAGAATGGAAAAAAATAACTGAACATTCATTTTAAAAAATTAGCAGCATCCAGTAAAATACCCAGCTGAAACTATGGTTTGTAAATCCTACAGTTTCCATTTCTTAGGCTGTGAAATGAGGGAGCTGACCTATCTTCTGGGTCCAAGCTTGTTAGGCTATTGCAATACCAACGTTTGCAGGTTAACTGTGAATTTCAGTCATCCTCATTCTGTGCTCCCAGCAAAGGAGCACTGCAACAGAGGGCTGGCCCTAAATGGGAACAGAGAAACGCTCGTGGGAAGTGATAGTTATATCTCTTTTTAGTATTTAAAATTTCATCACAGTCCTACCCAGTCAGGAGGCTGAGGCAGGAGGATCGCTTAAGCCCAGGAGTTTGAGGCTGGAGTGAGCTAGCATTGCACCACTGCACTCAGGGCGACAGAGCGAGACCCTGTCTCAAAAAAAAGTTATCATTGGAAAGTCATTCATTTAGGTTATACATTGTCATTTGGTCCTGGTTCCCTTTAGTGGGCAAATGCTCCTTTATTAGTAACACCTCAGGGGATAAATATAGCTGTGTAAATGACTTTGTCTTTATTTCCCCCAAAATAAGAACAGAAAGGGATAACGACTCTGTCTCCCTCTCAATTTTGACTCAGGCCAGTCCTGCTCAAACATGTCCAGAACCATCCATTCCCCAGAAAGAGATTTCGCAGCTCTCCCTGGGCACACGGTCCAGCATAAACAAACCCTGGCACAATCCGACTTTGGCTGCGCCCTGGGGCAGAGCAGAGGCTATGACCAAAATTAAGGCCCCTGGAATCCTGTCCATTGTTAGACCTAAAAGGAGAGGCCACAGGCCATGGGTAATGGAGGACTTTAAAAGGCCAGGAACAGAGATACAGGGAGGAGAAGGAGGAAGGACAAAAGAGAAGGGATGAAGACAAAACCGAAAAACGTCGTGTGATTTATATCAGCGCAAGGCAGTGAATTCTGAGCTGAACACAGCCGCCATCATGACGCTGACAGAGCCTATCAGCTCCCCTCTCTGTTTGGAGAGATGTCAGATAGCTGGCACTCTCATTGTTACATTAGTTATTAATAAACTCCTTAACAATGGGAGGAAGTGCTAGCATTCAGAGAATGGGAGTGTGTCAACAGCTGAGGACTGAATGTGGACGGATCCCAGGCAATGCCAGGCCCATGTTTAGCACAACCTGTTTTCTCCCAGAACAGAAAGTGTCAGAGCCAGGGTACAATGACAGACTGCAAGTTTTGTTTCATTTCTCGTTTTTTAAACCCAAGATCCATCACCAGATTCTTCGCAATCTTGCTGATCACACTGCAGATGACTCAATGGCCATCTCAGTAATCACACAGCCAAATTCCTACTTGAAAACACAACATATCCCTTAGTTTTACAGAGAATGGGTCGTTTATGGCCCTAGACTTCTAGTCGAGAAGCCAAGATCAGCCTCATCATCTCATTTAAGAAATGCTGCAGTCCCATTTATTCGTTTCAGTGGTTAATACAACAAGCCACACGTCCCTGCAGCACACTGGGTATTTCCTAAGTGGGTTTGTGCTATTTTCCTTAAAAAGCCTGAGAACAAAAACTAACTCTCCTAACTCCCATTGAAATCAGAACTGTTCTCTGATGGCTTGGCCAGGTGTGGTGGCTCAAGCCTGTAATCCCAGCATGTTGGGAGGCCGAGGCAGGCAGCTCACTTGAGCTCAAGAGTTCGAGACCATCCTGGCCAACATCATGAAACCCCATCTCTACTAAAAATACAAAAATTAATTAGCCAAATGTGGTGGTGGGCAACTGTAGTCCCAGCTGCTCAGGAGGCTGAGGCAGGAGAATCGCAGATAACCCGGGAGGAAGAGGTTGCAGTGAGCCGAGATCATGCCACTGCACTCCAGCCTGGGCGACAGAGCAAGACTCCATCTCAAAAAACAAAATGAATGAATGAATGAGCTGTTCTCTGATGGCAAATCCCCAAAACAACACTTAGAACAAATCTCAGGCTCTGTCTCACTTTCAGACAAGCTATGAATGGGCTGTGTGTCTTCACCTACAAAGATACACCCAGTTATTGTTGCTTTGTTGTTGTTATTCCCTTTTTTCTCCCCTCCAACATTTTCTGGAATTTCAAGTAACATGAGATGGGAAGGAAGGAATAAACCCATTCAAGTTCTTTCAACATGGATTTTGGATTCTTTTTTTAAAAGACCCTGAACATGTCTTAACCAGATGGTTTGAATTCATAGTTGTTCTCTCAAACTGTACCTGAACTTTCTGCAAATGTGTTACCTGAAGACTTAGGAGTGAAAGCAACAGAGAGACGCAGCTACAAATGTGGAAGCAATCACTGGGCTGTCACAGGGCAGAGTGAATCCAATGCACCCTGCCTGCTCCCCCTCCAGTGGTCAATAACAGAGGCACTGAGCACCTGCACAAATGGATTCAGGACGCGGGTTCCACGACTTTCCTCCCATCTGAATGCCACTCAGTGCTGCATGGGGAGGTGAGAATTTCATTCCTTTTCTTCCAACACAGGCTTACAGCTCTGATTCAGATGGTTCACCACCTCTAAGGGCCTCCACTTAAATACAGGTCTACGGGGTCTCACAGGGGACAGCTCTGCGTATCACTACTACGGGATTCAGGGCCCTGATCTCAAGCCTTAACCAATCACTTTAACTACGCTGAAATCATCTGCCATTGAGTCATCTGCAGTGTGATGAGCAGGACTGTCAAGAATCTGGTGACAGCATAGCAAAGACTTGGAACCAACCTAAATGTCCAACAACGATAGACTGGATTAAGAAAATGCGGCACATATACACCATGGAATACTATGCAGCCATAAAAAATGATGAGTTCATGTCCTTTGTAGGGACATGGATGAAACTGGAAACCATCATTCTCGGCAAACTATAGCAAGCACAAAAAACCAAACACCGCATGTTCTCACTCATAGGTGGGAATTGAAGAATGAGAACACATGGACACAGGAAGGGGAACATCACACACTGGGGACTGTTGTGGGGTGGGGGACAGGGGGAGGGATAGCATTAGGAGATATACCTAATGCTAAATGACGAGTTAATCGGTGCAGCACACCAACATGGCACATGTATACGTGTGTAACAAACCTGCACCTTGTGCACATGTACCCTAAAACTTAAAGTATAATAATAAAAAAATTAAAAAATTTACTATTAAAAAAAAGAATCTGGTGACGGATCTTGGGTTTAAAAAATAAAAATGAAGCAAAATCTACAGTCAACTATGTTGACTTTTTTATTTGAAATGCTAATCCGTGGCTCAGGGCATTGGTAGGTATGGATATTGACTTCTTTTTTATTTATTTACTTATTTTAGAGACAGAGTCTCGCTCTGTCTCACAGGCTGGAATGCAGTGGTGTAATTTCAGCTCACTGCAACCTCTGCCTCCTAGCTAGGCTCAAGTAACTCTCCTGCCTCAGCCTCCCAAGTATCTGGGATTATGGGTGTGTAATTACACGCCTAGCTAATTTTTATATTTTTGGTAGAGACCGGATTTCATCATGTTGGCCAGGCTAGTCTCGAACTCCTGCCTGCCTTGGCCTCCCAAAGTGCTGGGATTACAGGCCTGAGCCATTGCACCTGGCCTGGCTTCTTTAATAGGTATCAATGACATTCTTCATTTCTTCAGCATCTGAGGCCTCAGATACCAAGTACTAGACTTCAGTAGTTTTAAAGGTAATTATGTGTCCTTAAACAGGCAAACCACCTTCAAAGTTACTAATAGTTTAGAAACATTTTACGTCTTTTTTTTAAATCAATGAGCAGTACACAAACTCTTTGCGGGGGGGGGGGGGGGGGGGGGGAGGGCTATAACTTTGTAAAATGCTGTGTATAGTACCTGGCAGAGTTGGGAGCTAGCAGAAATGTTTATACCACAGAAATCTTACAGTGTTGTGACATGGCTCAGACACACCATGATTTGGGTTTAGATGAGGGTCAGAGAATAATTGAAAGATGACAAGATGGATACTACTGCAGGACACTGACGTGACACAAACTTTAAAGGTCTCATACCAGTGTGACAAAGGCTTACAATATAATTTGGGAAAAAAAGTACTGGAGACAGATCCTATGGGAGGTATCAGCAAGGCCCAGGGTACCATACACTCTAGGAACATAGATTAGAAGATTCTTTTTTTTTTTTTTTTTTAAGAGACAGGGTCTCACTCTGTCACCTAGGCTGTTAGTATAGTGATACCATCATAGCTCACTACAGCCTTGAACTCCTGGGCTCACGTGATCCTCCAGCCTCAGCCTCCCAAGTAGTGGGAAATATAAGCATGCACCACCATGTCCAGCTATATTAAGAAGATTTTTTTTTTTTTGGTACAGATGGTGTCTTGCTATGTTGCCAAGGCTGGTCTGGAACTCCTGGCTTCAAGTGATCCTCCCCACCGCCCCAAACCCCTACCCTCCTGAATAGGCGTGAGCCACTGTGCTGGGGTGAATATTCCTAAAACACAGCACATGCAGGAGTCTTATTAGTATCCTTCACAATTTAATTCAATTTCAATAACTGTGCATCAAACACCTATTGGGTGTTGGGTACTGGGCAAGTATTAGAAAATTCTGAAATGGAGACTAGTTTCTCAAAATGCTTTTAAGGAACAATTATTAGACACTATCTAACAAGGAGGTGAAAGAGAGAAAACAGTTGACCCAACTGGACACTGGGTTATACATATCACCTTTTCTGAATGAACATCAGAAAATAAAATCCGGCAAGTGTAATAAGAGTATTAACAATTAGAGCTCTCCTGGAATTGCAAGCAGCGGGGCTTGTCCCCTTTGTGGGAACACATTCTAGGCAAGAGGGCAGAAAGGCAGGAAGAAAGGGATGGAGATGAGCCAGCCGCCTAGATCTTCAGGCCAAGGCTAGATTTCCCCATTGCAAGGGATGTCGAATCAGCCCCTTCCAGATGGCGCTGCCAATGCTTTCATCACGGGAAAGCTTTATCCTCCTGGTGCAAGGAAACACAGGCAGCCGTCAGCCATCCCAGCGGGAGGGAGAACAAGATCTAGGGGTGCTAGAAATTCCCTTTGTTCCCTGATGGAATGTTTCCTGTTTGCAGTGCGTCCCCCCACTGTCTTGGCCCTCCTAAGTCACAGGAGGTGGGTGTGGGGCACCCCAAGGAGCCTCCACCCTGGCACTAAAGGATGTTTTTCAGGCTCAAACTTGCAGGGCTGGTAAGAGTGGGACCTGCCCTCGGGTTGAGTCATGGGGCTTTCTCACCTTCTCACCAGGGTTTCTTCTTGCTCAGCTGTGCAGCTGCAGAAAGGGCTGAGGGCACTGAAGCTGACAATGGGAGCCGCTCTGCAAGTGGCCCCAGCTGCTACTACTAACTCCTAATCACCTCAGCCTGGGGCCCCAGCGCTGAATGATAAAGCATTTGAAGATCGCTTCATTGTATTGGTATACCGATGCTTATCTATTAGGTGTACAGATGGATTAAGCAGGAAGGTTTTCTTAGGATTTCTCTTCTAGCCCACCAGATTGATTAGCAAAGTCCAGCCTGTGGGGAGTCATAGAGATGTACTGCTTTTAAGTCTTAAAGACACTTGGATTTCATTTGTGTGTGTGTGTGAGAGAGACACAGTCTCACTCTGCCGCTCAGGCTGGAGTACAGTAGCATCATCTTAGCTCACTGCAACCTCCGCCTCCTGAGTTCAAGTGATTCTCCTGCCTCAGCCTCGAAAATAACTGGGATTACAGGTGTGCACCACCATGCCTGGCTAAGTTTTGTATTTTTAGTAGAGATGGGCTTTCACCACGTTAGCCAGGCTGGTCTCTAACTCCTGGCCTCAAGCGATCCGCCTGCCTTGGCCTCCCAAAGTGCTGGGATTACAGGCGTGAGCCACTGCGCCCGGCCAGATTTCATTTCTGATGGTGCATGATGTCAATTTCATCTCAGGAGGTTTGGGGCTCCTGTTCACAGCCTCATCTATAGCTGCTATTAAGGTAAATTGCTGCCTTGGTGCCCCCTGGAGTCTGCCAGATACAAGGGGGCCCGTGCAGATGGACCAGGACACGGGCTTAAAACTGGGCACACCTGGGTTCTATGAGCCTGGGCAACACACCCACCCCAAGCTTGTCTCTTCCTCAGCAACAAGAGAGTCTCCCCAATTAAAGCGACTAGACCAGCAGCATCAGCCTCACTCGGAAACTTGTTAGAGGTGTAAATTCTCAGGCTCTCCCCAGACCTACAGAATCAGGAGCTCTGAGAGGGGTTTTGACAAGCCCTCCAAGTGGTTTCGATGCACGCCGAAGTTTGAGAACCACTGAGCTTCAAGAATCCAAGCTGAAGTCAGCCAGATTCCCTGTGCTAAGGGGGAAGGTGGGCTGATAGATGCAGCCTCTCTCATCTGACACTGGGTTTTCACAGGGTTAGGAAAAAACGCGATTGTAGGTTGTGTTTAAAACACAAACAAGGTGTTGGCTCTGACTCTGCTCTAGGTCATTCAGCAGGAGACTGGGAGCGGCTGTAATTCGAGGTAGGGGTCTTGGTCTTTGAATTTCATTCTCTTTGATCCTTGAAGACAACATTCTCTGCAGTCTTCATGGCCAACTCCCAAGCTTCAGAAAGAATGAGCATTGACCCCATTTTTTTGGATGAAATATTTTCGAAGAACTTAAGGCAGGGAGGGGTTGACAATGGACCCCAGGTGATGTGGCAGAGGCAGATCTAGGTTTATGGGGCTTGAAGCTTATAAAATTTTAGCAGCTTTTTTTTTTTTTTTTTTTTTTTTTTGAGACAGAGTCTTGCTCTGTTGCCCAGGCTGGAGTGCACTGGCACGATCTCTGCTCACTGCAACCTCTGCCTCCTGAGTTCAAGTGATTCTCCTGCCTCAGCCTCCCAAGTAGTGGGCTTATAGGTGTGCACCACCACACTCGGCTAATTTTTGTATTTTTAGTAGAGATGGGGTTTCACTGTGTTGGCCAGACTGGTCTCCAACTCCAGACCTCAGGTGATCCACCTGCCTTGGCCTCCCAAAGTGCTGAGATTACAGGCCTGAGCCACCACACTGGCCTTTAGCGGTTCTACTGAAGAAAAATACAAAACATATTATGTTCACAGATTTTATAAAAACACATGACCGTGTGAACACACTGCTAAGGTCCCCGGAGGGCCTCAGCCTGTCCAAGGAGGGGCCTTCAACTTAACGCTCCACTCACCAGAACAGTAACCTCGCCTCTCAGTCCAGGAAGGATGTCTGTCCTCTCTCTGGTCCTTTAAATTTCTCCTGGCTATGATTGGATCACACCAGCCCACAAGCTAACGAGACAATTTTTAGCTCCTCTTCCTCTCCTGTCTTTTCCTTTTTGTTATTGTTTACAGCCACTATATATAGTAATATAAATTACCAGGGAAGATTTCTTGCCTTCTTTGCGTGGCTCAGAGACAGCTGCATGGTTCCTACATCAATCAGGTTTTTTTCTCATATTCCACTTTTCTTTTTTTGTTTTTTGAAACAGGGTCTTGCTCTGTCACCCAGGTTGGAGGGCAGTGCAGTCACTGCTCACTGCAGCCTCAACCTCCAGGGTTCAGTGATCCTCCCTACTCAGCCTCCCAAGTAGCTGGGACTACAGGTGCTGTGCCACCACACCTGGCTAATTAATTTTTTTTTTTTTTTTTTGGTAGAGACGGGGTCTCATTATATTGCCCAGGCTGGTCTTAAACTCCCTGGCCTCAAGTGATTCTCCAGCCTCGGCCTCCCACAGTGCTGGGATTAGAGGTGTGAGCCACCGTGCCCGGCCACAATGCCCTTTTCTAACATTTCCAAACCACGGCTGCCTCCCTTCCTCTCTGCTTCTTTCAAACCCACTCCTCCTCCTGCCATTTCAGTAAATGACACCCCCCTTTTTAAGTCAGTCAGATCCAGGACCTTGGAACTCCTCTGTCCCTCCCAACATCAAAAGACAAAATGACTTGGCCAAGGCTGGCGGAAGCGGACGACGGAACCAGATCTCTGACTCGCAATTTCAAAAGGCACTGAATGGAGAAATCATGCCCTGCGACACGATGGAGAGAGTATTCCGCATTTTTAAAAGCCGGAGAAACCCACCTGGGAGTAGAATGCAGTGTCTCCTGGCACCAGATCCTGAAATTCACAACACACAAGTGGGCACATGAGCGGATTCCACTTTTCACCCTTGGACCTGACATTCCCGACAGCTTGCCATGGGGATTGTGAAACGCTCTGGGGGGTACCTGAAGACACTTAAGTGTGACCAGCAGGCCTTCTTGCACTGCGTGGTTCTACTGATGCTTTTTTTTTTTTTTTTCCCTTCCACTATTTGATTCCTGGGAGCAGTTTTCTCAGATTCGCATTTGGATCCCAACCTTGGTCTGGAAAGCAAAGCCAGCTTTGGAGCAGCTTGCCCTGCAGTCTCCCCAGCTGCAGCTCTCCCCACCTTCCTGGGTCCCCTCTGGGGTCCCAGCCATGCTCAGGGGGCGTCCCTCCAGCTGGCCTCTGCCTACCTGAAGACAGCAGGCTGCCGCTGCTGCCGCTGATGATCTTCCCCTTGCTACCCATGTTGGCCAGCTTCGAGGTCTTCAGCGTCCCCGTCTCGGTCAGGTCGATGGCGATCTCACTCAGGCTGCGTGCTGCATGGATTTTGGACTGGAATGGAAAGGGAAGCAGGTCAAAGAAGTGACGCTCACCTTGCGGAAAGGACAGTCATCCCTCGCCCGCGCCTGCTCACCGTCTTGACATTCCGCAAAGGGACTTATCTCCCTGACTAATGTGCAGCATTTTTGTTTGCATCCCTTGGCCTCATCATTAATCACCGAAACTCTCTGCGAAGAGCAGAGGCAGCTCAAGAGCTGCATCAATTGAGGATGTTCTAAGCCTCCGATTCTGTAGGCTGCACTGCTTTGTGCTTAAGAGAATGTCCTGATTTAGGAAAAGTGACTTAATCTCATTGAGCTTTATTATTCCCAGCCACAAAACAGGGTAGATGCCACTCACCACCCAGGGGTTGGTTCGGGTCAAAGGAGAAAAAGTGTGGGAAGGGTGTTCCTCCCCTCCCAACTCCCCTGTCCTCCCCTCTTCCTCCTTATCTGCCTGGCACACAGCTCTCAACAAACACTGTGGTTATAATTATTTAGTGCTTAAACAAGGAGGAGAAAATGATTTTCAGTGCTGTGAAAGACCTAAGAGATTTAAACCTCTTAAATAGTTTGCCATGTGGTCATGGAAAGTTTAGCTGATGGAGAAGTGACAGTGGTTCTCCAGCTTGGGCATCATAGCAAGATCCCATCTATACAAAAAAATTAGCCAGGTGTGGTAGTGCATGCCTGTAGTCCCAGCTACTGGGGAGGCTGAGACAAGAGGATTGCTTGAGCCCAGGAGTTGGAGGCTGCAGTGAGCTGTGATTGCACCATTGCACCCCAGCCTGGGCAACAAAGTGAGACCCTGTCTCTTAAAAAAAAAAAAGAGAGAAATGACAATGACAGATCTCTAGACCTGCAATCACAGGGTGCATGATTGTGGAAAAACTGCTCATTTGGATTCTGGGGTCCCACCAACGAACGTCTGACACGGTGCTTTGCTTATTTTGATACCTAAGTACATGTTGCCCTAGTCTTCCTATTATGGTTCAAAGGATACTCCCTTTAATCCACGTTGACTGGCTCTATTTGGTTAAAAGTCACAGCAGGTAAGAATAATTAGAAAAAACTCTATGTTCACATTGACATTCCTAAAAGCAGCGGTTTTTCAAAAAAAAATTTTTTTTTTTTTTGAGACAGAGTCTCAGTCACCCAGGCTGGAGTGCAGTGGCCCAGTCTTGACTCTCTGCAACCTCTGCCTCCTGGGTTGAAGTGGTTTTCCTGCCTTAGCCTCCTGAGTAGTGGGGATTACAGGTGTCCACCACCACGCCCAGCTAATTTTTATATTTTTAGTAGAGACGGGGTTTTGCCATGTTGGCCAGGCTGGTCTCAAACTCCTGACCTCAGGTGATCCGCCCGCTGCAGCCTCCCAAAGTGCTGGGATTACAGGCGTGAGCCACCGCGCCTGGCTAAAGCAGTGGTTTTTATAAGGTATCTGCTCCAGTTTCTACCTTCGGTAGTGACAATGTGTTTGTTTGCATTTCCCACACGTGTGTCCAATGTTTGCTTGTTTTCTTCTTCAGGAAATCAACTTTTTGTGAGTGTGCTGAAGGCAACAGGCTTTGCCAGTACACAGAACTTCGTGAAAACAACTAGAAACGGTCACTTGCTCATCTGTCCTTTCTGTGGCCACTGTCTACAGCACACACACGGACTGGGCGAGGTTCACCATTGTAGCTTCCTGCCTGGCCTGTGGAACCCAAGGTCTTTCCCACACAGGAGAAAGCAGGCATGGGGGCGGTGGTGAAGGCCATGGAGGGGTGTGGACCCACCACTCCTGGATGCCCCGTGTACAGCCTACCTTCCGTGCCTGGGGGCCCTTACTGTCCAGCCAGGGCTGTCTGAATGCCTGCAGCTCTGCCCTTCCTCTGCCCTCGACGTTGCTGTCCACACTGGCAAGGACAGCGACTTCCGACCTCATGTTAACACGATGGAAGTCTGCGGGCTGGAGGAAACACTGAGGCATGGCGCTTGTTTTCTTCACCTGGTGTGAATTGTCTTCCTCCTCCTCCTCCTCCCTACCCCGTGGGCCTTTCCTCGACTTATGCTTCCTTGCTAACCTCAACTTTTTTCCTTGCATTCAGACTGAAGTCGACTTCCTCAGGCGAATTTCCTTGTTCATAAAACAATCCTGGCTGCCAGGCCCTCGAAGGATTTTGGCTTGCCGCAGAAGGAAGGAAAAGGGCTTTTTATTTCATTTTGACACAGCCTATCATTTGCGCCCATCTGGTTGAGTTTTACCCTCTAAGCAAGCATGGCGAGTACAACCCATGACTTCCTTTCTTTCTACATCGCTCTGTTATGGAGACCCAGGTTTTAATAAAAAGTAGCCCACTCCCAAACGGTGATGTAACAATAACTCACGAAGGCCTAGACCAATTCAGTGCTGGGTGAAGGGTCTGGGCTCTGAAGTCAGAATGACCTGAATTAGAGCTGGGCATGGTGGCTCAAGCCTGTCCATCCCAGCACTTTGGGAGGCCGAGGTGGGTGGATCACTTGAGGCCAGGTATTTGAGAACAGCCTGGCTAACATGGCAAAACCCTGTCTCTACTAAAAATACAAAAATTAGACTTGTGTGATGGCACACGCCTGTAGTCCCAGTTACTCTGGAGGCTGAGGCAGGAGAATTGCTTGAACCCGGGAGGCGGAGGTTGCAGTGAGCTGAGATCACGCCACTGCCTGATCTCATTCCAGGCTGGGTGCTAGAGTGAGACTGTCTAAAAAAAAAGACCTGAATTAGAATCTTGGCTCTTCCCAGTGAATCACTATCGGACTTTGACCCTTCACCTTCCTGATTCTCAGATACATGTTTGTAAAATGGAGGTCTTAAAACCCACATCCCAGAGTTGTGATAACTAAAGTAGATAATTTATGTAAAGGCCATCGTAATAAGAATAGGATCTGCATTAGGGCCTGGCTGTAATTTGCTAACTGAGGTTAGATTGATGGCCCAACCAGATATTTTGGGGACCTCATTAATCACATGAAAAACTTATCCCCCTTGTCATACCAGAACTCTTGCCACACATCATTCTTAAAACAAAAATATGAGATCAAAAGGCATCCTTCCTAAAGGAGACTAGATTCCTGGAAGCCTTATGGAAGCTTTAGCAAACTACTGGATTTTTTTTTTTTTTTTTTTGAGACAGAGTTTCACACTGTTGCCTAGGCTGGGGGAGTGCGGTGGCACGATCTCAGCTCACTGCAACCTCTGCCTCCTGGGTTCAAGCGATTCTCCTCCCTCAGCCTCCTGAGTAGCTGGGACCACACATGTGGTCCACCACGCCTGGCTATTTTTAGTAGATACGGGGTTTTGCCATGTTGGCCAGGCTGGTGTCAAACCCCTGATCTTAGGTGATCTGCCCGACTCAGCCTCCCAAAGTGCTGGGATTACAGGCATGAGCCACTGCGCCCGGTCCGGATTCTTTCTAGAATGGAAAATATCACAGCGACCTAACAGACTCGGTGGGGAGAGGACCGGGAGGACATGGGCATTGTCGGGGAGAGTCTCTCTTTGCAAAGTCAGGTCTCTGGGCTGACCTTAAGGAGTCCCCAGACTCTGGAACATTTTGGTCTGGGAGTCTTGGCTGATACACGTGACTCAGTCTTCTGTCTGATATTGTGGGAACAAAGCTTCAATGTCCCTGTCCCCCTTTGACTCTGCCTTTGACTCTAAATAAAATGGTGAACTGCATCAGGGAGAGAAAAAAAAAGATTAGGAAGAAGGAAAGACGTTTGGATTGGGGGCCAATTCAAGAAGTCCCCACTCTGAGTTCAGAGGGAAAAGTGTCTAATGTCGACTCTAAACATTTTGAACTTTCAAATATTTTCCTGCAAAGTCTCTAAGACGTTCCTTGGCTCTGGGCTTCAGAGGCTGCTGGGATCTAGCAGACAACGTTTCTGATCTCTGGGGTCAGCATAGAAGTTACCAATTATAATTGGTGCCTGTGCAGCTTCTCATTCTGAAGGAGCTACAAATAACCAACCAGCACAGCCTCCCTCCGCCCTGTCTTAGATCGTAGAATGGTTTCTTGATGTATATGCATGGAGAGCTGATGGAGGGAGGGAGGGAGAGACAGGCAGAGAGAAAGAAGGAGAGATTTCCTTAAATGATTTGCACAGTGACCCTGAAAGAAGAAAAAACCCGAGTGTCAGGGGAGCACCTGAACCCTCATGGCTCCCTACCCTTGCTGACTCGAACCACTAGACCTCACTTGTCTCTCTAGGGTTGATAAACATCATTTGGGAGGCCTGGGCTTTGCTGAAGCTCTTCAGAGAAAGGAATGGTTGGCATGTCCCAGTACAGTAGAGTGTGAGCAGTGGCCAGGATACCAGCCAGAACTGGCTGCCTAGAAATGTTATGAAGCTCTCTGTCCCAGCCCTGTCGGCCATCACTCACCCAGAGGCCGTGCTGCCCATCAGAGATCAATCACATCGCTGTTCTATAAAGAACATTCCAGAAACAGAAAGGTGTTGTAATGTAATTCCCAAAGGGTACGTCATCATCTCTGATTTAATTTGCGGGCCTTTTAGAGAATTTAAACTTCATGCAAGTGTTGGCCAGTGATAGTATGCTAGATTAACTATGACATTAGTAAAAGATGGCACGTATTTCCTCAAGCAATTTCACAAACGTGGTGCCATCTGACCAATCACTAATTGAGGTCAGGAATTTCCTTTGCTGCTAATTGGGGAAAGCAAAACACCAAGGATGAAAGACCCACCCGGGGTCCCAGAGCTGGAAAACAGAGGCCTCCAATTCCCACATAGAGGGTTGTGATCCTCACCTGTCACTGCAGGCTGGGGAACTGGTTCCTGTGAGAAGTGTGAGGGCTCTAGGACATCTGTGAGCATGCCAGGCTTCCTGGGAAATGTTCTCCTTCTCCTTCTGGGAGCGTGGGCATTTTCTTCAGTCCCCAAGGGTTACTTTTACAAAAGGGACAGCTGAAACATTCCTAATGCTATGGGGCATTTGGTTTTACCTCCTAAAAGACACGTCTTGTTGCTAATTTATCTACAATAATCTTTTTTTTTTTTTTTTTCTGAGATGGAGTCTCACTCTGTCAACCACGCTGGAGTGCAGTGGTGTGATCTCAGCTCACTGCAACCTCTGCCTCCTGGGTTCAAGCAATTCTCCTCCCTCAGCCTCCCTAGTAGCTGAGATTACAGATGCCTGCCACGATGCTTGGTTATTGTTTTTTTTTTTTTTTTTTTTTTTTGTATTTTTAGTAAAGACTGGGTTTCCCCATGTTTGCCAGGCTGGTCTCGAACTCCTGACCTCAAGTGATCTGCTCTCCTCGGCTTCCCAAAGTACTGAGATTACAGGCGTGAGCCATGGCGGCCGGCCAATAATTTCCTTTTGAGATATACTTGCTGTGTCAGTGAGTTGACCTGTTAGCCTGTTCAACAACAAGGCTTGCCAACTGCAGAATGAGCCCATCTTCCCGGGTGCAGCAGGAAAGCCATAAGAACAAGTTTCTTGAAATGCTCAAGAGACCGCCTATGCAAAAACCGGCGCAGAGAGGAGGAGCTTGAACAGCCAATGCTGTGCTATCCTCAGGGCGAGATACACCTTTTCCTCTGTCCACACTGTGGTACAGTGCGTGGGGGGTCTGCCGTCAAGGGGAACTGGCAGTGGGGTTCAGGAGCATTGCCCAATCCCCTAACCCCCACCATCCATCACCCAACCACAGAGGGTGAAATTAACGTTCTCAGGTGTCGACCTCCAACTGTTGCCCCTGGACAGCAAAACCCTGACACCCACCCACTGTGTCAATATCGAGCATGAGTCAAAAACACTTTGGCCCCATTTCTTTTGATCTAATCGAGCTTCAAATTCCTGCGCTAGGACTAGGACCCATCACTGCCAGGAGAGCTGCGGAGAATACTGTCATTATTCCTAACAACAGAAATTCTCTGTCCTGCGCTCATTCATCCCAGAAAATGACCAAAAAGGGGGTCAGAAAGTAGAGGACAAGATATTTTACAAAGGATAAAATGACGGCTGCGGGGGACAGACCCCAATTTAAAACTGAATTATGACTAAAGGGATTGTTTCATTTCGTCCTGTCCTCTTTTCTTCTTTTTTTTTTCTTTTAGTAGAGATGGGGGTCTCACTATGTTGCCCAGGCTGGTCTGGAATTCCTGAGCTCAAGTGATCCTCCTGCCTTGGCCTCCCGAAGCGCTGAGACTACAGATGTGAGCCACTGTGCCCAGCCCTGTCCTCTTTTCTTTCTCTTATCACCTCCCCCTTGACCCCCAATTCGCTCACTCTCCTCTTCCCCAGAAAAAGAGAAACCCCTTAAAATATGGATAAGATGGCAAAAGAGAAAGAACCCTAGAGGGCACCGATTCAGTGACTCTTGTGCCCAGTAAGTTGAGCATCTTGCCACCTTCTCCCAAGAACTCACGCGATGGAGGGAAATCCTCCGTAAGTGCTAGAAACCACTAGCCCAGGGGCCCAGGGTGACCTCAGTCTGTATTCCCCCAGCCCAAGCCAGCAGGATCTTGAGAGAAGCTGCAGGGCCATCTTGGCAGGGCTCTTCCCCTGAGGGAGAATGAATGGGAGTGGCTTGTGGGGGGCTGACAGGGGAGTCTGGGGAGACAGGGCTGGAGGAAGAGGGGGCAGAGTGTTGATATAAGCCCTGTGTGAACCAAGGAGACGTCATCCTCTCACCCACCAGAAAACGCAGCTGCGTGCCCAGAGTCAGGGGTGGTGACATCTCCTTGGAGGAAGTCTGTTTACCAAGGCCCCAGGCTCTAGGTCTACCTTAGGGAAACAGGGTAGTTGCTTTTTTTTTTTTTTTTTTTTTTTTTAACGTTTCCAGTTTTGCATTAAAAAAAAAAAAATGGAGTTGGCAGTTGGAACCGCCTGAGGGTTTTCACAGCAATTACCCTAAACAGTTAGGTGGTGTCTATTCGTTGAGAAAGATTCCTTTTTTCTTTTCAAAAGGAAGATAGTATACCACTGTTTAAACACCAAAAAGGGCTTGCCTTCACGCTGCTAGAGGATTCTCCCGAGGGCCAAAAGCACAGTGGGAATTCCTCAAAAGGGGCCTACCTGGCTGCAGTCAGCGGCTTGAGCGGCTCTGATGGTGGTCAGAGCCCCCTGGACCAAGATGCATGGAATGTGCCCTCTTGAAGAGCTAGTCTCATCCCTCCCATCTGTAGCCCTAAGAGGCAAGCCTGTATCTGTGCAAGGTATGGACCCGGGCAAGGGACATGGCGCCTCCCCCACCCATCCGATCCTCATTCCTAAACTAAGAGAGGCAGACAATGGCCCGGGCTTGGTGAGAGGTCTGGTCACTCACCTTACTCTGCTTTCTGTCCAGATAGAACTGGTGTTGGCTTATGGCCATAGCCCAGATGGACTTGATCAATGCCGGACATGCATACCACGTGTGCACTGCAATGCCGCTGTGCCCAAACGTCCTCCTTGTCACTGAAGCCCTGGGGAAGCAAGAATCACAAGGTTCAATCCCATTTCTGTTGAGAGAAACCATTTCTCAGTCAACAGCTTCTGTAGAGAACCCACTGCGTCCTAGAAGCCCTGGCGTAAAGATGATAGATGAGCTCTCACATACACCTAGGCGTACACACACACACATGCGCACACAGCTTACAGACATCATTGGCTGGGCAAAGGCCACCTTCTGATTTTCTGACTCCCTAGAGTTCAGAATCTGGCCAAGCCTCGGCCTTGTCTGGGATAAGATGGGTCATTCTAGGTCAATGGATGGTCCTTTTTCGATCCTGGACTTGGCACTGGGCCAAGACAAACTTCGCAGACAGGAAAACCTTCAATGATGCTCCCTATGAGACAGGAAATGTGCCTACGGTGGGGATGAGTAAATTATTTTCTAATCACCACAGGCTACAGCGTCCCAGGGAATTGGGACTTCTTATATAACTAACCCAATGTTCCTTGAAGATTTGGTGATCAATTTCCAATCTATTCAGAGGGCAGGGAGGGTATAAAGAATCAGGAGAAGAAAGGCAGAGAGAAATGTGCCCAGCCCCAATTCCCCCAACGTCTGTCGATACATTTCATTTATATTTTTCAGATGGAGTCTTGCCCTGTCACCCAGGCTGGAGCGTGCTGGCAAGATCTCAGCTCACTGCAACCTCCACCTCCCAGGTTCAACCAATTCTCCTGCTTCAGCCTTCTAAGTAGCTGGGATGACAGATGCCCCCCACCACTCCGGGCTACTTTTTTGTATTTTTAGTAGAGACAGGGTTTCATCAGGCTGGTCTCTAACTCCCGGCCTCAGGTGATCCACCTGCCTCGGCCTCCCAAAGTGCTCGGATTACAGGCATGAGCCACCGCACCTGGCCCTGTCTATACATTTTTAAATCTACATGGAGTAATCAGACTTTAAAAGTGAAAACGGGAACTGTTCATCTCCACATTCATGGAGTTAGGGGGAGTTATATGGTCATGCTCTTAGTGAAGTATATTTTATAGGATAGGCAGATTATTTTGCAAATGAAATCTAAGAATGTGTGTTTGCATGTGTGTGTGTGTGTGTGTGTGTGTGTGCGCATGCATGTGAGACAAGTTGACAGGAAGGTGGGCTGGGATTTGGGGCATTTTACATGGACATCAGAAACAAAATGTATGTTCTCAAGACTAACATATCTAATTTGGAAGAAACCTGGGGGTAATCAGGACTTACAAACAATAACATTTTTTTTCATGGCTAATTTTCCCTTAAAGAAAACAAAGCTGCCAGCAATATCTTACTTTGGGCGGGGGTCGGGGGTGCTAAAGATTTAAAGTGGAGTCTTGTTCACCCTCACTTTTAAGGAGAAATTCAGATCCGGTGGTTAATGTTACTGAGTCCACACAGGTTTTTTCTCCCTTCGGTTCCAACAAAAGTGAAGGAAAAAAAAAAAAAAAAAAGCCAGAGCGTGAAAGAGCACACAGTTGAAAATAATTGAAAAAAGGAGCCAGGGAGAGAGCGAGGGGGAGATCCCTCGCCAGTCTCTCTAAATTTAAAAGAAAACAGGGATCTGTGCTCCCAGCTTGGCTTCCATAGCAGTTCTTGCTCTTGGAAATAAATGAATGACTTTTTTTTCCCCCCAGAAAAGCTGAATTAGACAAGAACAGTATCTTGAAAGGTGGTGCAAGGCTAGGTACCTCCATTTCTCAGGTACCGGGAGGGCAGAAGAGGTAAGTGGCTGGTCAGGTCCGGGTAGTTCCCCGGAGCATCTAAATCAGATACTCAGAGTTCTTCTCCTGCTCTATCATTACTTTATCTCCTCTCCTCATCTTTCGCTTCAAGCCCTTCCTATTTTACCCAAACCGTAGAAGTGAAATATTGGCCCAGCCTGGAGAAGCTCAGAAATGAAGCTAAGCATTGAGTTAGGATGCCCAGGGGGAGAAAGTGCACAGTGTTGTCCAGTGCCCCACAGGGAATGGTGCAATCACACCTGAGCCCATCGGCCCAGAAAGCAGCCTCTGCCCTGAATCATTCCCATCGATTACATCTTCATTAAATGACCGTATCTGGCGTTGCCCATCCTATTACTGCAGTTCTGACTGCCTTCCTGGCTTGGGGGAGGGGCTGAGCCCGGAACACCAAACTAACGTGAGGCCAATCACATTCCTCTTCCCTACCTCAAATAAGCAAGGCCACAAGCAATAGGATGACACATTCAACTTAAAAAGCACCGCGAGGTTCACTTCAAAGTAACTGGAAGAGAGGACTTGCAATGATACCAACATAAAAATAGTAAACACTGAGGCGGGTGGATCACGAGGTCAAGAGATTGAGACCATCCTGGCCAACGTGATGAAATCCCATCTCTACTAAAAATAAAAAAATTAGCTGGGTGTAGTGGCGCACGCCTGTAGTCCCAGCTACTTGGGAGGCTGAGGCAGGAGAATTGCTTGAACCTGGAAGGTGGAGGGTGCAGTGAGCCGAGATGGCGCCACTGCATTCCAGCCTGGGGACAAAGTGAGACTCTGTCTCAAAAAACAAAACAAACAAACAAACAAAAAAACACTCAAGGCCATGGATACCCCACGTACCCTGCCTTGATCATTCCATGTTCTATGCATGTAACGCACTCACACGTGGCTCATGAATACGTGAAATAGTAACTCTCAATACAAGAGAAAAAAGGCACCACTAGGATGTGAAAAAGAGAACTGAGTGCAAGAAAGATCTTACAGCTCATAGCTCTGGCTCTGCCATGCTAAATAACTGACCTGAAGCCATTTCCTTTCCTTGTGTGTCTTTAATGCTGAAGTCATCCCGGGTCTCCACCTCTGGCCTCCCTGGGCCTCTCCCCCATTCCTGCCTGTCTGCAGGCTAACTCAGTGTACTCAGAGCGAGTTTGCCTGGGACGAGACAGCTCTGCTTCTTCCTCTGGGCTCCTCCAACTCCCACTTCCCTCCAGCCAGACCCTCCCTCATTTGTTTATCCTAATTGAGAAGCCCCCACCTGACATCTATATCCCCCTGAGGCCCTACCACGTGGCTTTAATCCTAGTTACCCCTCCAGGTCCAACTCAGACCTCTCCTTCCTGGTAAGCCTCTCCCTTCCTGACCAGCCAGGCCTCTGGTGACCCTGTCCTTCACCCTTCATGGCCCACGACGTCTGGCCCTTCTGTACAGTATAGAGATAAAGGGCATGAGCTCTGGAGCCAGACCTCCTAGGTTCAAATCCTGCCTCTCCTGTATACTAGCTACTTGTCGTCTAGAGCAGGTTTCTTTGTTTCTTGTGACACTCCATGAGTTCCTTCTTCTCAGCCAGGTTCCAGGCAGTGGCTCACGCCTGTAATCCCAGCACTTTGAGAGGCCAAGATGGGAGGATTGCTTGAGCTTGGGAATTTGAGACCAGCCTGGGCAACACTGTGAGACCCAGTCTCTCCAAAAAAAAAAAAAAGCTGGGTACGGTGGTGTGTACCTATAGTCCCAGCTACTCGGGAGGCTGAGGCTGAGGTGGGAGAATTGCTTGAGCCTGGAAGGTGGAGGCTGCAGTGAGCTATGATTGCACCACTGCATTCCAGCATGGGCGACAGAATGAGACCGTGTCTCAAAATAAAAGTTCCTTCTTCTGCCTGTCTTCTCAGTTACACTAGAAGATCTTTAAGGAAGAAGACCCTGCCTCCGACTTCCTTCCTTCCCCGCCACAGCACCCGACAAGGACACAGAAGCTTCGCAAGAAACATGACATTGATCACTGCTGTCTAATAGGCGACAGGCCCACTGAATAGTCACGTGTGAGATCTAGATTCTTTCCTATATCCCTGGGCTTTGGTAAAGAGAGTTTAGCAGTACTCACCAATAGGGCGACAGACGCACAGAGAACACGAACACACATGTGCAGATATATGCGTGCGTGGTTAAAGGATTTGTCCAAGGTGCCTGGGTGTTCACTGAATTCCCAGCAGAGCACAGGCATGGCGGAGGGTCTATTCCCTGCGCTCAGCCCCTTAGATTACCCAGCCCCTCATTTTTATCCTATGGAGCATCCCCTTTCTGCATCTGACCCATTGTGGCAAAGTTCATTTCACTCTTTCTGTACTTAAATTTCCCCTCTCTTACATGCCTAAGAACCTGGTCCAATTCAGTTCACCTGGAAAATGAACAGTGAGTTTCTTCTTGGCTGGAATCTTATTTTTGAAATCTCCCCGCCCACCCCACTTGGCCTGCACAGATGGATCTGTGCTCCATGGAGTGGGGCTTCTGGCCGCGAAACCCCTTGCAGGGCCCTGAGAAACACCGGATAAAATATTTTTCTGTTAAAGGCTACCATTTTCACCTGACTGTGGAGATGCAGAAACTCTCAGCTGCTCTCCACTAACTATTCCTGTAGTAACCGTGGTGCTGAGATAAGCTCTTGCCCTACACAGGAGTGGCTGTTTCAGGCAGATTACCCTGGAGGGCAAGCACGGCTTCATTCCTACCGGGTTATCATGGGCTGCAGGAACAGGGGCTACTGCACAGGTCCAAGCCCTCTCACTGGGCGGGGTAACTCCAAATCTCCCTCCTGTCCAGAGCTCATGGGGAGGGACTGCAGCTTGTTTTGAGCATCAGAAGCCATGTGTGAGCTGGAATTGGTGCCAAGTCCTCCTTCTAAGCCCAGGGCTGGAGCGTCAACAGCGCCTAAAACCCACTTTTGCTCCTCTGTAGAGTCTGATCTTTTTTCTGTCTCCCTGGGGCTACCTTCTTATTGTAAATGTCTCTGACCTTATGGAAAGTGATTTCTTAGTTGTCAGGCCTGGTTTTAGGGAATTACGCTGCTGTTTTTGGGGATGCATATAACTTTAGGTCCAGCGGCAGACAAAGAGAGGAAAACAGTGGGTATGAGCTGCCCAGACCCCAGCCACCTGGGGCTCCCTGCATTCCAACCTGGGGCCCCACTGTCTTGCATCTGACTTAAGAGTACAGGGACTTTTTACAACCCTGGTGCTCTCTGGGGTACGATTTTGGGTGGAGGGAAAAATAATTTCATTTCTTTCACATCCACCCACAATACTAACATCCTAAAATTACAGCTCCTGGAATAAAACAACGTAGCACAACTGCTTTGGTGACAAATTCATTTTCGCATTGACCGTCCTGCCTGAAATACTTTTAGAAGCTCTAATGAGGGATTCTTCAGACTCTTCTATAGCAAAAGTTTCCTATGGGGACTTACTGGTGTGTGTTACAAAGTGCTATAAAGCTTCCTTCCAGTGCCCCGGCAGGTAAGACAAACACATACACTGACACACACACACACACACACACACACACACGAGCCAGGGACACATGTGGCCAGATGAGACAGTCAGGGGATTGCTACTTACACACACGTGCGAACCCACTGCATTTATCAACACATGTAATTGAAAAGAAAGTTTCACTGTCTGATTTGAGCTCCATTCCCCAGGAGCCCCCACCCTCGCTCCCTGCTCCAAACTGACCATGAACAACGACAGCCCCAAAATAATATCCATAACACGCCCGGCCGAGAGCCACGCCATCCCGCAAGAAAAGGACTTTTCAAGCTTACCTGCGTGGGTCATGAACTTCCACGGAAAACTTCTTTTCTCTGAAGTACAGGTTTTCCAACTGTCTCCATTGGAATATCTGGACAGAAAACAGTGTAGTTTAAAACTCAGGAGGGGCTGGCTCCTGGGCCATCTTCCCCTCTCTGCTGGTTAACTTTCGACAGCTGGCAGTTTCCTTATCAAAACAGAGACCGTAGTCTGTGCCTCCTCCGCCTCTTGCTTGACACACACACACACATACACACACACACGCAGCTCTCCAGTTCAAAACCAGGCAATGTGGGTGTGGATTTTCCTGCAGGTTCCTTAACTGGAACAAAACAAGTTCTTTTCAAGTTCTCCGCCTTCGGTCGGCCTTTGTTGGTTTGGTCGTGGCAGTCCCCAGCTTGGCAGACTTTTCCCTTCCAGGAGAGGGAGGAGAGGTGGAGACCGGGGAGAGGGACCCAGCAGGGAAGGCGGCGGGTGAGGGGAGAGGAGCGAGAGGAGCGAGCGCTCAGGAGGGAGCGGTAGCCATCTGCGTGGAGTGCTGAACTGAGCTTCCTCCCCTCCAGTGCTGAAATGGGAAGGCGTTCAAATTCCCAGCCTCCCATCGGGACTCCACTTCCTGCTCACTAATGTGTAAGAGCCTTGCAAAGGGCGGAGGAGGCTGGGACCTTATTTCGGGGGCAGGCAACTCAAGATCACAGTGTGAGCCTGTCAAGCCCATTCTTCTTGCTGCAGCACAAAGAAAACCAAGAGTTCTGTCGCCCGGAAGGACGCTGCGGCCAGAGTCTCTCCCTCAAGCTTGGCCAGGGAGGGTGAGAAGTGGAATGAAGGGGCCCTGGCGGTCATTCCTCCTTCGGACCAGTGAGCTCGTTAACTGAGAAGCTGACTGTAATGTTTGGAAGTAATTAGGGCTGCATCCAATTGCTCCAGGAACGGGGTTCCTTTCATTGGATGAAAAAGAAAGTTACTTTAACCCTCTGGGAAATATCACAGGAGGTTCAACTTGTGTGCACACACATTTGCATTAATATTTGCTGGTTACTGCATCACCTTCCACATACTGGGAATTTCGGTTTATTTTGCGGAAAGAAGGGGTAAAGTAGGAATCTTGTTCTTGTCTTTCTGCGGGGAACAGCTTCCCTGGGCTCCCCCCTTTCTCTGGCCACTGAGTTAAATGCTTTTCAGGGTCTTACCCCAGAGTCCTCGGACCTCAGGCTCCTGACCCTCTCTGACCTGCTCATGTTCTGCCCACCTTAGAGACGTGATGGCCATTTCCTGTATCTGACCCACCCTGTCTTCCCAGGCTGGGGACACTGCTAGTCAATGGTTGGCTAGTGGACCTAGCACCCCATATAAAACTGGGCTGGAATAAAAACTGCTTCTGGAATGGCCACATTCTTTTATCCTCACAATCTGCTCTCTGGAATTTTACAATTATTTTGTCTGCGTTAAGTACTGGGAAGGAGAATATCTATTATCTCTTATTACAGAGTTGCCTCTTTTGTCCCCGGCTCAGAGTGCATTTCACTCTGAAGCCCAAGGAAATTGTATTTTTCTTTCTTGTTAAGCATCAACTCCAGGTGGGTGGAGAGACACTGCAAGGAAAGCAAATGGCCCAAAGCTCTATGTTGGCTGACAGCTTTGTGTCAGAGATTCAACAGCGCCTTAGCGGAGTCTATTACTAAAATACACAGACCCAGGTCTCATGGTCCTGTCTGATGCTTGGCCACTATAAATCCTTCCATTAAAACACCCAAATTTCCTCTCTGGTCCCCAGGTATTATATATTCAGCGACATTCCACCTGAACTTAGCCAGAGCTACAAAAATACCAGAATGAACAGGTTCCACGACATTGGCCTCATAGCCTGGGGGCAGTACACTGAGCAAAGCGGTCAGGCAGGCAGGCTTTGTGGTCTGACTACATCTGTTTGAATCCAAGCTCCACTACTTTTTTTTTCTGAGACAGACTCTCACTGTGTCCCCCAGGCTGGAGTGCAGTGTCACGATCTCGGCTCACTGCAACCTCTGCCTCTCGGGTTCAAGCGATTCTTGTGCCTCAACCTTCCAAGTAGCTGGGATTACAGGACTATGCCACCACACCTGGATAATTTTTGTATTTTTTAGTAGAGATGGGGTTTTGCCATGTTGGGCAGGCTGGTCTCCAACTCCTGGGCTCAAGTGATCTGCCCGCCTCGGCCTCCCAAAATTTTGGGATTACAGGCGTGAGCCACCGCACCCAACTCAGGCTCTAAGCTGCTGGACCTGACACAAGTTACAGCATTTCCTTTAGCCTCAGTTTTCCCCTCTGTAAAATGGCAAAAATAACCCCTCTAAGGTAGATCTCAGCAGCCACAGATCGTAGCACAGTACCGGCACAAAGTGACCTTAGATCTTACTATGAATCCCAAATGCTCTTACTTCTCCCAAATCCTTGCAGATTAAAAGAGAGTAACTCCAGAACAACCAGAATCATTCTTTTCTTAGATTTCCTAACTCAAGCCCTGAGTTTTGGATTTAAAAAAAAAAATATGTGTGTGCTGCAAATCCTTAAATACAGAGAATTTTTCTCCCAGTGCCTCTCCCCTCCTCTCACGTAAGGGATGTGGATGGTACTTCAATGAAAGGGTCCTGTTGGCTGCATACCACGGCGGTCCCTCAGCCGCTATCCTGCACCCGCCTTGCTCAGGCAAAGTGAAGTCTTGAACAGGATCGGCCTTCTGGGTGTGCGACCTGAGGGCCCTTTGCTCAGAAGGTCCTTGGCTTGATTTCCTGCTCTGCTGTTGATATCTTGAAATTCCTAACAGGTTTTTTTTTCTTTCTTTATATCTTTATTCTTTTTTTTTGTCTTGTTGCTATACGCTTTTTAAAAAATTAATTTCCATAGGTTTTTGGGGAACAGGCGGTATTTGGTTAATTAGTTCCTTAGTGGTGATTTATGAGATTTTGGTGTGCCCATCCCCTGAGCAGTGTACACTGAACCCACCTAATGGGTTTGATCAAGGGGCCCTGCATTTCCATTTTGCACTGGGCCCTGCTCATTGTGGACTTGATCCTGGCCTTAGGTCCTGGCATGTACTGGTGCTGGCAGGCTCTGTGGGGTAAGGTGCCTGCCAGCCTAATGGGCAGGCCTGGGAGGTGGAACCCTCAAGCCCTCCAAGAGAAGGAAAGAAAGCAGAACCAGGTGTGAGCACGCTTGAGAAAACCCCTGTGCCTTTCATGGGAAGCCCCCCTCCCCACCCGATGAAGAACCCCAGAGCAGAATGCTCCGAGGGGTTGTTTCCCTGGCAACTCCTGTCTCCCCCATTCCATGCAAAATAAAACACAAACCAAGCTTTGCTTTAAGTGCTCCCTGATGCAGTTCAGCGTGGAGAACTGCGCGTCTGCCAAAGAGCCCGAACAAAACCATCTGGACTCTGCTGCATGGCCCCGTCTGTGGCTGCTGTAGCTGCCCGTGGGAAGGCCCTGCCTCCAGCTTCTGCCCTTGGCTGCGAACCATGGAGTCCCGGCTCCCAGGCCTATCCCCGGGATGATGCACTAGACATTTTTGTGGCAGGGTGCAGAACAATGGATTCCCCCTGATGCTTGCTTTAAGCATGAATTTTTGTTTTGCAAATGCAATCCTGGGAAGGAAGGGTAAGAGTAAAGTGAAGGGATGGGTGGTTTTCAGGATCAGATTGTTGCGTTGAGACATTAGAAGGGCCCAGGAATGGGCTGGGTATGGTGGCTCATGCCTGGAATCCCAGCACTTTGGGAGGCTGAGGTGGGCAGATCACTTGAGGTCAGGAGCTTGAGACCAGCCTGGGCCAACATAGCAAAACTCCGTCTCTGCGAAAAATACAAAATTTAGCTGGGTGTAGTGGTGGGCACCTGTAGTCCCAGCTACTTGGGAGGCTGAGACAAGAGAATCACTAGAACCCGGGAGGCAGAGGTTGCAGTGAGCCAGGATCATGCCACTGTACTCCAGCCTGGGCGACACAGCAAGGCTCCTTCTTAAAACAAACACAAAAACAAAAGGGTCCCAGGAACAGAAGAGAAGGTGTGCATGTCAGAACAGTAGCCTGATCTGACTTCTCTTCACTTAGGAGGGAGGGGGTGAGCTAGGGAGCAGGAATATGAAGGCAGTAGGGACCAGGAGGGTGGAAGCAGCTGCCCCTTGCCCAGGGCCGGGGTGCAGCTTGCTGGAAAAGCATCATTTTCTTCATGGGGTCTGGGGCATTTCTGCCCATGGGCCCTTGAGGCTTAGAAGTCCTGCCTGTTAAATACCTCACTCTGAGGCTGGCAGAGCAAACACAACAATCAAATCAACAAACAGGAGATGCTCCACCTTGCCTCCCCTTTGTAAACAGGGTAAGGTGGGCTCTGACTGAGCTGGTTTCGGGGCAGCCCCGATGGTCTGCGCCACCTCAGGGGAGCCTCCCGAGCTTGCGCTGGCTCAGTGCAGCCGTCATAACCCACCACCATGTAAAGCTGCCAACACACTCTGCCTCTCCGCATAAAAACACAGCAGGCACCCATAATGATCATCAGGATGACTGGGCCGGTTCCCTTAGGGATTTGTGTAACGCCTATGGCCAATTATATCCAAGGAGCTAATTAAAAAGCTAAAATACTTAGTTCTACCAATAATCAAAGAATGTATTAATTCATACCTATTAAATCAAGGGGTTTCTAGTGCACGTCACTTAAGCATCTTTAAAAAGCCCTGCAAACATCGTTCCTTTGATCTTTTGGCATCCCTCAAGAAGATCAAGTGGGAAATTTACTTCTTGGGTGAAACAAGGCCCAGAGAAATTAAGGAAAACTGCCTAAGGCCACACAGCAAGTAAGTGAAGGAACCAGAAATAGAAGTCAAGGGCACCTGGTCCATTACTCTAACCTCTAACTATGTTGCTTTCCCCAGGAGTCCACCAATTAGTGGGAACAGCTCTTACTGACTAATGGATGGTTAACTTTACAAGTGGAATGATTTTTACAAATGAGCTACAATATGACTGTAAGTAGAAAGTAAAAAAGCAAATCTTTTTCATCCTGCACCATGGCCTGGCTTTCCTTTTATACGGTAAATGATAACAAGTATTCTTTCCTTCTATCCTTGGAGTCCTGGCTTCCTCTAGTTTTCTATACAGCAATGCTTCAATACTCAGTAGCTTTCAATACTCAATGCTTTCCATACTCCAAAGACTAAAACACAACGACAACTGTGATGAAGGACAGCCTGGGCCAGGCATGGTAGCTCACGCTTGTAATCCCAACACTTTGGGAGGCCAAGGTTGGGGGATCACTTGAGGTCAGGAGCTCGAGACCAGCCTTGTCAACATGGTGAAATCCTATCTCTACTAAAAATTAGCCAGGTGTAGTGGCACGCGCCTGTAATCCTAACTACTCCGGAGGCTGAGGCAGGAGAATCGCTTGTACCCAGGAGACGGAGGTTGCAGTGAGCCGAGATCTTACCACTGCACTCCAGCCTGGGCAACACAGTGAGACTCCATTTCAAAAAAAAAAAAAGAGCAACAACAAAAAAAACAGCCTGGATGATCTGGACTTGCGTGAAACAAAACTTAGAGGAAACCACCAAGTAGTGGCTTCCTTGAGACTATGTCTGTCCCTGTTGTTGGGACTGGCTGATACTGGATGTGGATTCTTAGTTTCTGACCTAGACTTGCCGTGACTCCCAATGCGATCACAGGTCCTCCACTTCCCTGTTCTGGGCCTCAGTATCTTCATGTATGAAAACAGGAGGTGGGAAACACTTATCCACGGAGTGCAAACAAAAGTGGGTAATAAATACTGCCTTTGAGACCTGAATGCAACAGGGTCCACTCTAAGTACTTAATGAGCAGGGACCAGTTACTGGTTTCTATTAGATGGCCTGCTGGATTCCCACATCCTGTATTTAGCTGAAGGCTGGGGCAGAGGAAGGGGCTTTGGCTCCACTGGACTTCCTCCCCAGCCAGCATTTATGGAGAGCTGGGACTGCATGTGGAGTGGTGGGCAAGCTCCCAGGACGATGTGGAAATAGACGCTTGAGAGGAAGCTCAGTCTAGTGGCTCTGATGCTTGACTAGGACTTTGGAGAACCTCGTCTTCCCCCGCTGCCCCTGAGGCTGAGTCACCAAGCTTCTTAATGATCTCCCTATGAGTAACTTCCTGTTTCATCCAGGGGGGCTATTACACAGAATCACAGCAGCCATCTGGTCCACCTCCTCCTTGCACAGATAAAGTAACCCCAGTAGAGAGAGGTTAAGGGATTGGCAGAGGTTAAATAAGTAATTGATGATGGGACCCACATCTTGTGACTTCTGGTCCTGGGCTCTTTCTAACACACCATGAAGCTCTGACAATGAACGAGAACAAAGTTGTTTCAAGCTTCTTGTTCTGAGTCTCTATATAAGAAGAATTAGACTCATGGACAGGAATAATCTCCAAGCTCAGAAGAAAACATACAAACTGAAAAACTCACTTCCTTATTTCATTTCTGCCCTTTTTACTTTCTAGAGCAGACTGGCACTTGCAAATCTTTAGACGGATTTACATTTTCAGCAAATACAAATGAGTTGTTTCACATCTAGAGGGCTGCAGGGCAAAAGAAAGGAGTCACTGAACCCGAATCAGATGGAATTTAAAATGTGAGAGCACCCAGAAAGCTCCAAACCTGTGCTCTCAGAGGACTGGATCCCATGTGCCCTGGTAAGGTTTTGCTATTGGAGCACAGCCGGTTCTAAGGGGCAACAGAAGTAGGTATATATACACATATATATAATATATATACATATATGTAATATATATACACATATATATAATATATATACATATATGTAATATATATACACATATATATAATATATATACATATATGTAATATATATACATATATAATATATACATATATGTAATATATATACATATATAATATATACATATATGTAATACACACACATATATAATATATACATATATGTAATATACATATATAATATACATATATAATATACATATATAAAATATACATATATATATATATATATATATATATATATATAAAATATACTTTTTTTTTGAGACACAGTCTCACTCTATCCTCCAGGCTGGAGTGCAGTGGCACGTTCTCAGCTCACTGCAACCTCTGCTGCCTCCCGGGTTCAAGTGATTCTCTTGTCTCAGCCTCCCAAGTAGCTGGGATTACAGGCTCCCACCAACATGCCCAGTTAATTTTTGTATTTTTAGTAGAGACGGGGTTTCATCATGTTGGCCAGGCTGGTCTCGAACTCCTGACCTCAGGTGATCCACTCGCCTTGGCTTCCTAAAGTGCTAGGATTATAGGTGTGAGCCAACATCCTGGCCCAGGTATATGTTTTTAGTGGGTTGAAATCATATGTCAGAGGTTTTTTTTTTTCTATCAGTTTTTTAGGCATTCAATATATTTTACTTTTTACAAAAAAAGAAGACAGAGGCAAGGCCCTTGGGTTTCAGGCAGCATTGAATTCCCATTCCCTTTCCAACCATTCATGTAGTAGTCTTCTACTTTGTACTGGACTGTTCTCATAGGCAAGAGGAAACACATGGTGCCTAATACATGTTTATATTTGTAGCGAGCTTACAATCTACTTGGGAAGACAAGACATACATAAAGTAGCTGTATTCATGCTACAGGAACCCATGATTCCTATAGCCAGAGATGGAAACCATCTCTGGTTTCTGTACCAGGCTTTACAAACTCTATAGAAGTGCCGCACTGCAGGCTGGGCATGGTGGCTCATGCCTGTAATCCCAGCACTTTGGGAGGCAGAGGTGGGCCCATCGTGAGGTCAGAAGTTCAAGACCAGCCTGGCCAACATGGTGAACCTCTGTCTCTACTAAAAATACAAAAAATTAGCTGGGCGTGGTGGCTCACGCCTGTAGTCCCAGCTATTCGGGAGGCTGAGGCAAGAGAATCACTTGAACCCAGGAGGCAGAGGTTGCAGTGAGCGGAGATCATGCCACTGCACTCCAGCCTGGGCGACAGAGGAAGACTCCGTCTCAAAAATAAAAAATTAAAAAAAAAAATTAGAAGTGCCGCGCTGCCTCATTCACATATATCTCATGCTTTTGTCTCAAATAATCAGTATTCATGACTCTTGTTTACTCTTGATTGTTTTGGTTTTCATTTTTAGGAGCAAGAACCCTGGGTGGGAGGTCAGGAGCCCTCAGTTCTAGCTCTGACTTTGTAGAGCCCTCTCCATCTTAGCTTCGTCCTCTCTAAAACGAGGGGGTGTGTGGGCATTCCTACATTCTGTGCATGGGTTGAAGGTCAGCATTGTAAATCCAGAGAATGTCAAGCTGCAATTCTTTGGAATTTAAAAATAAAGTAGCTTGAGTTAAACATTTCCTACCGATGGGAGACAATATAGAATAGCATGGATTAAAAGCATGGTTTTCAACGTCATACTGTCTGCCACTTACCGGCTGTGTATTCTCAGCAATTGAATTTGTGCCTTAGTTTTTTCATCTTTGAAATAATAGGAATAATAGCACTTTTCTCATAGGGCTGCTGTACTAATGAATTAATATATGTTAAATGCTTAAAATGGTGCCTGGTACATAGTGCTGAAGAAATAATATGAGACTGGTGCAGTCAGTGGCTCTTGCCTGTAATCCCAGCACTTTGGGAGGCTGACATGGGTGGATCATCTGAGGTCAGGAGTTTGAGACCAGCCTGGCCAACATGGTGAAACCCAGTCTCTACTAAAGATACAAAAATTAGCAAGGCGTGGTGGCATGCATCTGTAATCCCAGCTATTCAGGAGGCTGAGGAAGCAGAATTGCTTGAATTCGGGAGGCGGAGGTTGCAGTGAGCAGAGACGTGTCACTGCCCTCTGGCCTGGGTGACAGAGTGAGACTCCCCCCTCAAAAAAAAAAAAAAAAAAAGAAATGCTATGATTGTACACATTCCCCTCCGTCAATTACATACCAATATTATTGTTCAAGTAAAACATAAAAGTTATGAATACTTTGAACACATATCAGCACAAAGTACAGGTTTGTGTAATGTTTTTTTGAAAGACAACTCATATGGTGTCATGAGCATTGCAAAAACTGTTTTCTGTGAAATTGGATTGTTTACAATGCAAGGAGAAGTTGGACCCAGGGTCCCCATTCATTCGTTTGTGCTGGAGTTTGCTGTATTCTCTTTGGGGTTGTTTATTCCTAGTCTTATTGGCCAATTCCTCCGTCCACTGCAATCTTGACCAGAGTCAGTTTTGACCATTTTCCTGTTATGACTTCTAATCTCAAAACATTCACCCTGCGAAAAAAGTATCCCATTGTAAGATGACTCAGTCTTACACAGAACAGAGTGGGCTATAATGGGAACATATCAGGCCCTCCCAAATACCCAAACAATGACGGCAGATCACTGGCTTCCTAAATGGGTCTGAGGATGTCCTCCATCACTTGCACTGAAAGAGGCATCTATCTTCTTCAGAGATGGCCACACACCCAGCACAGGAGACAATGGCTAATTCTTCTCTGCAGCCAGGCCTAATGGAATCAAGATGTTCTTCCGGCCAATTGCGTCTTCCTCATTGTCAGACAACGCGAGCTCTAAATTGATTTGGTTCATTCAGTGACAGATACCCAGAGCACCGGGCCTTGACCCCTTAATGGATGGCCTCTTTTTAACCCATCAAAAACCTCTTAGCTTCCTTTGGCTTAAGAGTCATTACTAGGGGAAAAGGGAGAAAGAGGTTAACAAGTACTTGACAAGCCCATTGAGACGCAGGCCATTTTGTTTTTCTCCATTGGACTTGATTTCCTTGTAATTTTCTCCCTAGAGGCCTCTCTCTGTATTATTTTCTTGTGTGTATTTTGGCTTTTCTTGCAGAAAGACTTCACCATAAAGCTTTGATGAATGTAAATACTTTCAAGAGAAGCTGGAATTGTTTTTCCTTTCCTATCCTCTGCCCCCTGATGTAATTCCTTCCCTCCTCAGAGTGCCCCAAGGGACTGGCTGGGGTCAGTGGGTTGAATGGCTGAAGCTGTCCAGTGATTTGGAATATCTGGGTCTAGCTTTGGTTTTTCTAGCAATGAGCACTGTGACCCAGTGATGTGTGGCTTAACCTCTCTGTGCTCCAGTCTTTCCTTGAAAAAAAGCCAAGGCTAATTCTACCTGCTATGACAGACCTCAGTGGGATGCTTCAAAGGGGAATTAATCAATCTGAGAAATACTTGGTACATCTGGGGAGAAAATGATGGTAGGCCATTTCACCTGCTTTGGCCAAGGCATCTCTTTCCAGATTGGTGTAAAGTTATTTTTCTTAAAATTTTTTAATTTTTGAGATGGAGTCTTGCTCTGTTGCCCAGGCTGGAGTGCAGGGGCATAATCTCGGTTCAGAGCAACCTCTACTTCCCGGGTTCAAGCGATTCTCCTGCCTCAGCCTCCCGAATAGCTGAGATTACAGATATATGCCACCATGCCTGGCTAATTTTTGTATTTTTAGTAGAGATGGGGTTTCGCCATGTTGACCAGGCTGGTCTCGAACTCCTGACTTCAAGTGATCTGCCTGCCTCAGCTTCCTAAAGTGCTAGAATTACAGGCATGAGCCAACGCACCCGGCTAAATTTTTTTTTTTTTTTTTTTTAATCAGGGTTTGACTACTTTGGAGGACAGGCTTTAGGGAGAAACCTGTTGTTCTTGTTTTTTTTTTTTTTTTTTCCAGGGGTGGCGGGGGGGGTTGGCAGTTGGCATTTCTCTTATGCCTGCTCCAGCTCTATCCAGAGACGTGGCATCATAGAGACATCCCGATCTCCTCTGTGGAGGTCATCGGACTGTACGGAAGATGGGGATGGGATAGAAGAAAATGGACTGGCAACCAGCTCTGCAGGGAAATACAGGCATACACTCACAAGAAACACCGTGCTTTATCACCCATAACAAAAAGAAAACGAAATGTCAATACTCTGCCCTAGCGATATCTGTGCGAGGCAAAAAAAGAAAAAAGCAAGCAAGCAAACCAGCAAGGGCTTTGGCGTTTGGGAATAATTATTTAACAGCAGCTTGTTTGCACTTTGGAACACCTCGTGCTTCCAGAGCCGGCCCATCCTGCTGGGGAGGGGAGAGGTCCCAGCGCTGCTGTCTGGCAGACCTTGGTTTCGGTGGGCACCAGAAGCGAGGCAGATTGCTTGCTGCTGCAACTTCACGCGTGAGCTCCAGGCTCCCCTGGTTGGAAGGTGCCAGGGAGTGAGGCGGGTGAGCAGGCATCAGGCCAGGGGTTTGTGGTTTGCTTTTCAAGTCAGGCTGCTGCTGGGAGAAGGAACGCTTGCGGTCTCGCCAGCTGCTCTGCAATTGTGGCGGCAGCCAGCAGAGATAGGAGGCGGTGGGCCTGCCCCGCTCCAGCCTGGACTTTCCACTTGGAGGGCCTGACTTCTCCGCTTGACCCGAGACATGCAGGGGGCTGCGGCTGGGCCACGGTCTCTGCAGCTGGGGCCTTTCTCTCTACGGATCCTCTTGCGGGAGCAATTTGGTATCTGCTCTGCGAGGTTTCCTTCCAGAAAGAAGTGAGGACTTCAGATCTAGACTTTCTGTCTTTCCAGGAGGGCTGGTCCTATTTAGAGCTCTGCTCTTTCCCCCAGAGGACTTCTGCAGTGTGCAGATTGACTTGGGGAAACTGAATTGTGGGGAAGAGGAGGGGCGGAAGCAGAGGAGGAAGCTGAGGTGTCTACTCTGCAGCCTGCCTTAAACAACTTTCTTTTCACCAGGGCTATCCCAAGCCTCCCAAAATTCCCAGCCCTGGTCTGGGCCAGTTCTCCCAGATATTCATACACATACCTCTGCCAAAGCAATGATCATGTGGTGCCGTAATGGCTTTTATGCTCTAATGTCTTCCTCAACCAGACTCAAATTTCCTTGAGTATGTTTTCCTGGCACCTAGCATGTACCTGGGGGCATATTAGACACTCAATAGTTGTCTGTTGAGTGAGTGAATGAATGAATGAAGAGCTTTTTGAGATATTAGCTATTATGACAACTGAAGTTCAGAGAGGTTAAGTCACTTTCTCAAGGTCACACAGACGCCACATGGTGGGAGGTGACACTTGAGCCCTCCTCTGTCTGCTCGACTCCATGCTATTTCCACCATGTGAGGAACCTCCAGTGGCTGAACCCAGATATATTGTTAAAAATACATTTCTAAGCTGCAAGGGATGCGATAATAGGGAAATGGCAGTTAGAGTCAGCTCAAGGAGGGACAATGGTAAGAGCCACAGCCGAGGAGCCGTAGCCCTTCTTTCTGGCAGCTCTGTTAGAACTGAACTCTACTCTTCCAAGGTGAACTGGGGAAGTCTACGATTCCAGCAGCTCATGGTCTCAAACTGGAAGCCTACTCCCAACCTAGAGGTCAGATCTTTACAAATCATGTTGCCTAGAAATTGCCTCTGTCTGCTTGAGGTGGTCAAGAATGACCCCAGGCAGGTAGGACCCCGACTGTAACACCCTTGAGCCCTACTTGCAGGTGCCGATTCACAGCCCAAGGCGGGCAGGCAGAGTTGGGCACAGCATGTTCTGGCTGTGTAAGGTTTGGTGTTAAACAGGTTTACATTTTCCGGAAGGTCAGTTCAGCCTGGGCTTCCCCTCTGAATCAAACTCATTAAGAAGAAGGAGGGGGAAAAAAAGCCTTACACAGCTTCCTAAGTATTGGCTGGTTCAGCAGAAACAAGCTGTTAAAACTGGCCAAGACAAAGAGGTTACCAGAAGTCGACAAGCAGGGTTTCCCAACTGAACAGATCCTTAGAAGAAAGCAAAGAAGTCTAGATTAACCAGAATTATTCAAGGGTCTGCAGTACTCCAGCAATTCACTCAAGATATCCTCATTACTCTGTGTTCTTTTGGTGCTATGGACAAAAATAAAATCAAAGGAGAGCCCAGATGGGAGCAATTTTTATGCTTTTCATTTTTTCATCAGCAAACCTAAGCTGTAAAAAGCCAGTCCCTCTCCTCCATTCTCCTCCCAACTATCTTGCTCTCTACGTGGAGCTCTCTGCAACCCTTCCTTGGATGAGTTATATTCTTTTTTGAGACAGAGTCTTGCTGTGTCGCCCAGGCTGTGGTGCAGTGGGGTGATCTTGGCTCACTGCAACCTCCGCCTCCTGGGTTTAAGCAATTCTCCTGCCTCAGCCTCCTGAGTAGCTCAGACTACAGGTGCGCGCCAGCACGCCCAGCTAATTTTTGTATTTTTAGTAGAGACGGGGTTTCACTATGTTGGCCAGACTGGTCTCAAACTCCTGACTTCAGGCGATCCGCCCACCTCAGCCTCCCAAAGTGTTGGGATTACAGGCATGAGCTACTGCACCTGGCCCCAGTTATGTTCTTAAAGCATCAATCAATGAGGCCACTATCCACAGACATAAGGAGGAGTCTGTGAAATTAGCAGTGGGTCGCAAAAATGATTAGATATTCTGCTCCGGCAACTTTTATCCATTCAACAACCACGTGTTGAGTAGCTACCATGGACCTGGCACTGTGTCAGGCACTGAGGATACAGCAGTGTATCCTGCACATTCTTATGAAGGGAGAGGTGGGCAAATAAATAAGAAATAAATAAGAAAACTACGTGGTACATACAGTAAGTTAGAAGATAACAGGTTTGAAGCACAAATGGGAACCAGGGAAGGATAGGACAGGGTTTGCCACTGTTAACAAGGTAGCCAGGGAAGGTGTTGGTGAAGTGACATCGAGTCAATATCAGAAAGAAACCAGGGGCAAAGCTGGGCAGCTATGTGAGGGAAAAGGATGACTGCAGATACAGAAGTCAGGGGCGTCATTTGTGTGTTTGTGTTTGCTGTACAAGTGTAGAAAATGCTGAAATAAACATCAAAGGACGATAGAATATTATGCAGCCCTAAAAAAGGAATGCAGTACTAATGTGTGCTGCAACAGGGATGAACCCTGCAAACATTCTCTAAGTGAAAGAAGCCAGACACGAATGGCCACATACCATATGGTTCCATTTCTAGGAAATGTCCAGAATAGGCAAATCCATAGGGACACAAAGTAGATGAGTGGGTGCCTTGGGCTTTGGAGGATGGGGAGAAATGGACAGTGACAAGGTACTCCCCTTGTGGCCCTCTGCTCTTTTGCCTACTGAATCCTAGTCTGGATTAATCACAGATCACAAGACAGTCTTTGATTAAAACTCAATGAAACTCTGGCTGGGCCTAGAGGCTCATGCCTGTAATCCCAGAAATTTGGGAGGCTGAGGTGGGCGGATCACCTGAGGTCAGGAGTTTGAGACTACCCTGGCCAACATGGTGAAACCCCATCTCTACTAAAAATACAAAAATTAGCCAGGCGTGGTGGCAGGCACCTGTAGTCCCGGCTACTCAGGAGGCTGAGGGAGGAGAATCGCTGGAATCCAGGAGGCAGAGGTTGCAGTGAGCCGAGATTGCGCCACTGCACTCCAGCATGGATGATAAAGTGAAACTCTGCCTCAAAAAAAAAGAACTCGATAAGACTTATTATTTAAAAGGAGCTAGCAGTCCAGGATAAAACAGAGGATCCCTAATTTTTAGTGGCATCCCTTGTCCATAAAAAGCTCCCCGACCCTTGTCAGATGGCACTCCCACTAGGGCCGTCTTCTCACATCTGCTCTGGGGGTCTCTACAGAGGGCAACTCACTTCTTCCAGCCTGTCAGCACCAGGCCGGCTGGGGCAGCGGCACCTCAGGGTGCTGTTCTTCTACCTCGGGGATGGGCAAGCACTCTCTCATAGACACGGCTAGTGAGGAGTCTGGCCAGTGATCCATTTTGTAAATGGGTTTTCAAACCTTAAACATAAACTCAATTATGTCCTTAAAAATACACATGTGCATGCCTAAAAATACACACACACATACAGAGGAAATTCTCTCAGCTGTGACTTCTACTGCTCATTAAAGGTAGGACTGGGGTTGGTTTTCAGTCAAACGTGAGGACGGAGAGAGGCTGCAGGGCAGAGCTCCTCTGGCTCTTGGCCTTCCTGTTCAAAGGCCAGAGAAGAGACACCCATGACAAGGCTGTGCTCGCTCCAGGGGGTACAGGGACCCCACGCAGTGCAGCAGATGCCAGGGTACACCTTTCAGAAAGATTATAAGCATTGGCAAAGAGATTTGCAAAATCCCGTGCAGCAGAAACACCTGTTGGAAAAGCTAGAGAGAAAGAATTGGGTGGTTGCATGAACTATTCCACTGGCCAGGGCTCTTTTTTTTTTTTTTTTTTTCCTGACTCAGGGTCTTGTTCTGTTGCCCAGGCTGGAGTGCAGTGATGCGATCATAGCTCACTGCAGCCTCGAATTCCTGGGCTCAAGTAACCCCCCCACCTCAGCCTCACAGGTAGCTGGGACTACAAGCATGCACCACCATACTCGGCTAATTAAAAAAAAAAATTTTTTTTTTTTTTGTAGAGTCGAGGGTCTCTCTATGTTGTCCAGGATGGTCTTGAACTCCTGGCCTCAAGCAATCCTCCCGCCTCAATCTCCCAAACTGTTGAGATTACAGGCATGAGCCACTGTGGCTGGCCTCATTGGGACCCTCTGGTCTTCCCAATCACTGGTTTGATTCTCACCTACACAGGTTTGTCATGAATTATGCTGTCTGTGAGTAACTTCACCGCTGCCTAACTAGAGCCATAGGATAGTAAACTGGAAGTTCTGGCTGACATTTTATGATGAGCAGTATCACTAGAGAGGGCCATGAGCAGACCATTCCACAGGAGAGGTGAAAAGCAAGGGCAGGGAGCCGGTTAGCTGGGTATCCACGCTGGTTAGATAGATCTCCATGCTGGTTAGACAGATCTCCATGCTGGTTAGCTAGGTCACCATGCTGGTTAGGTAGGTCCCTATGTTGGTTAGCTAGGTCACCATGCTGGTTAGCTAGGTCTCCATGCTGGTTAGCTAGGCTTTTATGTTGGTTAGCTAGCTCACCATGCTAGTTAGCTACATCCCTATGCTGCTTAGCTACATCCCTATGCTGGTTAGCTAGGTCACCATGCTGGTTAGGTAGGTCCCTATGTTGGTTAGCTAGGTCACCATGCTGGTTAGCTAGGTCTCCAAGCTGGTTAGCTAGTTTTTATGTTGGTTAGCTAGGTCCCCATGCTAGTTAGCTACATCCCTATGCTGGTTAGCTAGGTCACCATGCTGGTTAGCTAGGTCTCCAAGCTGGTTAGCTAGGTTTTTATGTTGGTTAGCTAGGTCACCAAGCTGGTTAGCTAGGTCAACATGTATCTTTGTTTGCCAGTAACCCTGGTTTGTTTGATATCATGGAATAATTATTCACTAATGTCCCTTTTCATTTGTAGTGGTATCTTGGTTTGGATATTAAAACCCTATGGTTACTAAAAGACAAATAACTTTGATTCCACTTATATGAGTGTTCAAACTCACAGAAACAGAAAGTAGAATGATGGTTCCCAGCAGATGGGGGGAGAGAAAAGAGGAGTTATTGTTTCATGGGTAAAGTTTCAGCTTTGCAAGATGACAAGAGTTCTGAAGATCTGTTGCGCAATGATGGGGATATACCTTACTGAACTGGCCACTGAAAAATGGTTATGATGGTAGATTGTATGTTGTGTGCATTTTATCACAATTTGAAAAATATCTTCTGGTTAGATGACCCCGAAAATCCCTCACCCACAATTGAGGTATAAAGTGTTTAGGAGGGTGGAAACTGAGAGAGCATTTTTAGAAATGTTCTTGAGAGGGAGATGTTCTGTGAACTCTCTGCCACCCACAGGGGGAAGGTAGAAGATGTACTCTTCTCCTTCAACCTGGAAAGAGAGGGTTCATTAGGGTTACCTGGAGAGCTTAATAGGTATCCCCTGACATCAGACGAACTGAAGCGGGGATGGAGCTCAGATGGGAGAATGGAGAGATTTAACTTTAGAGCAAGTTTGAAGCTTTGATTGTCATAAAGAACTGGACACTCTAATTTCTTAATAAAAGCTTATTTTGCTATTTAAAGTGACTGGGTGACGTTGTAATACCTGGGAGTGATCAGAAAAGTCATGGGACTGCCCGTGTTTTTATTGAGAGATAAAGGAAGAGCATGTTCAAAGGAACAGTGGGAGATAAAAGAGATTTGTCAGCCGGGCGCGGTGGCTCAGGCCTGTAATCCCAGCACTTTGGGAGGACGAGGCAGGCGGATCACGAGGTCAGGAAATCGAGACCATCCTGGCTAACATGGTGAAACCCTGTCTCTACTAAAAATACAAAACATTAGCTGGGCGTGGTGGCGGGCGCCTGTAGTCCCAGCTACTCGGGAGTCTGAGGCAGGAGAATGGTGTGAACCCGGGAGGCGGACGTTGCAGTGAGCTGAGATAGTGCCACTGCACTCTGGCCTGGGTGAAAGAGCAAGACTCTGTCTCAAAAAAAAAAAGGAGATTTGTCTATTCAGTCCCAGGTGGTCGATGTTCTTATTATCCTAGCAAAGTCTTCTGTCTTCCAGCTAGAGAAACCAGATCTGTTCATAGGTTACTACCGGTTCATGGCTTCTTTTGGAGCGAGCGAGGCTATTGGATGCTCCTCTGCAGTGGTTTGGGATCCAACGATAGCATTTGGTTTTGATTTGCTTCTTCAAATTGCATCCAAGGTCAACGGGGCTCCCTGAGTAATGGGAATCTGCATCTGTAGAGTTATTTAGAAGCCAGCCAGTCTCAGGGCGGCTGCTACGTCATCTGGCTGGGTGTTTATTTGCATGTTATAAATACCAAGTGTTGTGTTTGACCCCTACTGTCCACACAATCAACGTGGCTATTTATATGGCCTTTCTCAGTGCTGGTCCACGTGCCTTTTCAGGGGCAGGGAGAACAGCAGGTCGAGGAGACCAGGCATTGTGTGGGAAGCAGATGAATCCTGGGAGACACATATCCCCAAAGACATATCAGCTGCAGTAGGAAAACCGCTTTTGGTTATTTAATCAGATCTAGCTTGAGCACTGGCTCCACGGGAGTCAAAGACAGACGTGGGGTTACCTACTTAGAAACTGGCATTTTCCCCTCCTACCACTTTCTTCTGGAAAACTGTTGCTTTTCATCCTTTCTTTCATTCATGACTCCCCTCTGGCTTTAAAATGAGCTTGCTTTATTTACCTTGTTTTATTTCTCTTTGTTTCTAGTTTTAAGATTCCTTCAACATCAGGATTCCCGATCATCTCATCAACCGACTTGTTAAGAAAACTGAGGCCCAGGGAAGTGGCTCACAATTGTGTAGAATTGTGAGGTGTCTTGACTGCTGGGCCAGGTATCCGGCAAATAATGGCAGGGGGCAGGGGCAGGCGTGCAGCACCCCAAGGGTATGTCAGGCCTGGAGACTGACTTCAGAGACAACTTGGGGAGATTCTTGGAGCTTGAGTGTACCCCTTCCAGGAGGTGCCTCCAAGCTTGTCACCCTGGGAGAGATTTAGACCTGCCCCTCTTTAGGGGATAATTACATTCCTCCCCTCCTGTGACTTTCCAGATTAATTACTCTCATGCAATAGTTGCTCTCTAAGAATTATTCACCTGGACAGGGCAATGCTTTTTTTTTTTCTGTTCATAGACAGGTCAACCTTCCTCAAAGGTGACAGTCTGACACCAGCATGGGCTTCAACAAGAACACAAGATACAGGCTGGTGCCCTTGGGAGCTTGGCTTACCCAGACCAGTCTCGGGATGGCCTTCCCAGGGCCCTGTGGGAACCGAGGAACCCTGGCTTCCCAGGTCCAGTGACCAACAAAAAAATAACCCTCTTCACAAAGAGACGTTGTTTGCTTTTCGAGGCCATCCCACCTCTTGTTTTCAGTATAAATGACTGTAACAATATTTGCTATGTCAAGGCCAATGCCACTTTTATCCTGGGGAATGAGAAACTCTGTGACAAGTAAACTTATTCAAGATGGAGAAAATTAGACTACATCTATTCTGTGTCTCTTAGTCCCCACTTCACAGATATAAAAAGAGAGGCACAGGGAGGTTAAATAAATTGCTAATCATGACTTTCTAAAATAAACTGGAAGTGAGTTAGTGCCAAGGAAGTGAGTTAGCGCCAAAATTCTTTGGTCAAGAAAATTCTTCTTTGGGGGCCTGGGCAACATGGCAAAACCCTGTCTCTGCAAAAAATACAAAAATTAGCCGAGTGTGTTGCACACGCCCGTGGCTCCAGCTACTAGGGAGGCTGAGGTGGGAGGATTGCTTGAGCCCAGGAGGTCAAGGCTGCAGTGAGCTATGATGGCACCACTGCATTCCAGCCTGGGAGACAGAGTGAGACCTTGTCTCAAAAAAACAAAACAAAAACAAAACAAAACAAAAAAGAAACTTCTGTTTTGGGTCTTGGAGTGGATATGGAGGTCATGAAGGTCGTGAATTTACAAAACATCTCTCTCTTTTTGTTTAGAAGTGTAACTGCTCTAGGAAAGAATTTGACTTTAACTCAGACTAAAATGTCTTCATAACAACAGCAAAACAACGAAGTAGGATCTCATAGAAAGGTCCTCGTTAACTGCCTGTATGCAGAGCAGTGGGCCTTAAGCTCCACTGCCTGTGCTCAAGTCACCTTCAAGGCTTGTGGAATTAGATTGCGGAGTCCCATCCTCAGAGTTTCTGAGCTCGTAAGTCTCAGGCGGGGATCCTTAGTTTGCATTTCTTTCTTTCTTTTTTGAGATGGAGTCTTGCTCTGTTGCCCAGGCTGGAGTGTAGTGGTGTGATCTTGGCTCACTGCAGCCTCAACCTCCTCAAGGCTCCAAAGTAGCTGGGACTACTCCTTTGTATTTTTGTATTTTGTGTGTGTAGAGATGAGGTCTTGTTATGTTGCCTAGGCTGGTCTCCAACTGCTACCATCCTCCTGCCTCAGCCTTCCAAAGTGCTGGGATGACAGGTGTGAGCCACCTAGCCTGGCCGTTAGTTTGCTTTTTTTTCTGAGACAGGGTCCCACGATGTCGCTCTGTCGCCCAGGCTGGAGTGCGATGGCACGACCTCGGCCACTGCAACCTCTGCCTCCCAGGTTTCAGTGATTCTCCTGCCTCAGCCTCCCTAGTAGCTGGGATTACAGGCACATGTCACCACACCCAGCTAATTTTGTATTTTTAGTAGAGACGGGGCTTCGCTATGTTGGCCAGGCTGGTCTCATATTCCTAACCTCAAGTGACCCACCTGCCTCAGCCTCCCAAAGTGCTGGGATTACACATGTGAGCCACCACACCTGGCCAGAGTTTGCATTTCTAACACATTTCCATGTGATGAGGATGCTGCTGGTCCAAGGACCACACTGAGAACCACTGCTGTAGAAGATACCATGCAGCACCGACCAGCCTCTTTCTCCCTGCAGGACTGAAGGACGTACGCCCTCTCCCGGAATCGTCTCAGCTACAGAGAACCACCTTGCCCAAGGTCACCACCCTCTTGCCAAGGGGGTCACTTGGATCTAATGATTGGTTAATGCTGGGGGGAGGGGGTAAGTCTTGGCCCCCAGCCTCAACAGTGATGGCGGTGGCTCCGGGGTCATCCTAGCTTCCGAGTTTCGTCTAGGTTGAGGGCGCCATGTTGGGACTGCATCAGCTTCTCTCTCTGCCTGGTTCTGCTTCCTTTACTTTACCATTTGTTGTTAGTCCAGGGCACACCCCAGTAAACTTCCTGCATGCGAGTTCATCTTAGACTGCTTCCCAGGGAATCGTATGTACAACACTCGGGAGTAGAGAGTCACTGAAACGGCCCTAGCTCTGAGAGACCCCTCCTGACCAGCCATCACCCCTCCCGCTCTTCCTTACTCTGATTTATTGTCTTCGTAGAATTTAACTCTCAGGTCTATGGCCATACTGCCCTGAATGCGCCTGATCTTGTCTGATTTCAGAAGCTAAGCAGGGTCGTGCCCGGTTAGTACTTGGATGGGAGAATTTAGTGCTCGAACACTATTGCTGTAGCTTTCTTTAATAAATAAATTTGACTGCCTTTCCTGCTAGACTGTAAGCTCTGTGCATGCAGGGACATAGTCTCTCTTGTTCTGCAGAGCCAAGAGCAGGGCCTGGTACCTGACAGGCACTCGGACAACACGTACTGAACAAGTGAATGAACTTCCAGGCAGGAAGAGTCACACATCCTCACCAACAACTCCTAGGGTTTCAGAGAACTAGAAAGTCTAGGAATACAGAGGGTGCTTTCAAAAGTGTTGTCTGTAATTGGAAATGCCTTATGTTTGTTTAGTGCTTTAGTTTTATTCATTTTTTTTTAAAGCAGTTCATTCAATATTGATAGCAACCCATATTATCATAAACCCCCATGTGGTGGGCAAGATAGAGGGTTGCTTTGAAGCACTGGGAGAAGAGAAACCGGCCTTGGTGAGTTGAGTCTCTTGCTCAGCCAGGCCCACATGGAAATGCTGGTATCCTGCCTCCTGGACCCATGGTCCTGTCTCTGTATCATCAGCAGAAGCAAACTCAAGTCAGTTGCCACTGAAACTCACCGAGTCTGACTTTCCCCCATGAATACTCATATGGGGGCCATTTTATTGGAGAGGATTTCATATTCACCACCCTGTACGGAATTCTAAGTGCTAGCTCAGTGCTTTCAGGTGATTACCATTCTTTTTTTTTTTTTTTTTGAGATGGAGTCTTGCTGTTGCCCAGGCTGGAGTGCAGTGGCGTGATCTCGGCTCCCTGCAACTTCTGCCTCCTGGGTTCAAGCAATTCTCCTGTCTCAGCCTCTTGAGTGGCTGGGATTACAGGCGTATATCACCACGCCCAGCTAATTTTTGTATTTTTTAGTAGAGACGGGGTTTTATCACGTTGGCCAGGCTGGCCTCGAACTCCTGACCTCAAGTGATCCGCCCGTCTCAGCCTCCCAAAGTGCTGGGATTACAGGTGTGAGCCACCGTGCCCAGCCGATGACCACTCTTTAGAGTTTGGGATTATTCTTCCAAATGGAGATGATTCAGCCATGTCTGATATTGGTGATTTGAGAAGGAGGATGTCTAGGATTGATGCTTTGAGAAGACGATCTCAATTTTCTTAGAATATGATTCCTTTTGTCCTTGGAGAGTTATTTTTAAGTAGCAGATTCTGGGAACTCCCCATGCCCTCCACCTCCTACTCCCAAATTCCGCCCCCGCCCGCCCCCGCGGCCAAGTAGGCCTGGTCTCTAGACGCATGGAAAGCGTTCAGGTCCACTCAGACTGTGCTGCGATCTGAAAGAATGATAACATACGAGAAGGCCCTTTGGTCCTACACTGTGAATGAGTAAGGGGCAGCTGCAAAATGCTAAGAATGCTGAGTGCATTAAGTGAAGTGTTTCTCCCAGGTGTGCACAGGGTGTGGCTTCCAAGGGGAATGTGGATGCTGGAATGAGGGAGGCAGCCACCTAGGCCGGTCAAGTCAGAGGCCCAGCAAGGAGAAAGCGAGCCAAGGCAAACGCCGACAGAAGAGAACGATAAATCCGCGGCGCACTCGGCAGAACGTACACCGCACCGCATAATTTAGCGGGGCAATGCCGCCGGGAGTCCACGCCAAGTTAATGGAATATTTCCTGTAAATATTATTTTCCCTTCCTGTCTCATCATCTCATTTCATTCAAAAATCTTTACTAATCCGGGGGAGTGAAAGTAATGCATCAATTTCCAGAGCCAATGCCCCTGCTTCCGAAATACCCTTAGGAATCACTGGAAGCCACCGCGGCTGCTTAGGGACAGGGGGGCAGGCCGTTTACTCTGGTTCCTTCTCCTAATGCCTCAGAGGGGACCCCATAGTGCTCCTAATTGTGCATCTAAGTGTACATAAAAGCCCCCCTAATTGCACATCAAATAAATAAGTAAATGCTGTCTGCTGAATATGTAACAAGGACTGATGTTGCTATTTCTTCCCAGGGGGGAGATTTCATTAAATCTGGGCTGCATTTCTAAGTGATGATTTACAGATATTGAATATTCTTTACAAGGGAGGCTTTTTTGGAGTTATGTGCTTCACAATATTTGCTCTAATGCTTAAAGCCTCAGATACAGCCTGCTGGAGGTCTCTTTATTCTAACTCTTAGTGTCCTTTTGGAAAGTCTTTTCTGCTTTAATGTGTAATGGCTTCCGATGATCAGATGGCTGGTTTGTCTGCAGGTCTGGGGACTGTGCAACCCCCTGGTCTCCCAATGCCTCAGTTACTGACGCTGCAAACAAGGCAGATTGTCCCAGAGATTAGAGCTCTCAGGCTTTCTCGGGCTTCAATCAATCAAAGGAACGTAAGGACCCCTCCCCTACAGAGAGAGCCGGACGTGAGCCAGATTTTGTCCAGACTTACTTATATCTGCCCTGTGGGATCCCGATTCTGCAAGATTTAATAAACAATGCCTCAACAGATAGCATTTAATTTTCATTCAAACGTTTCCAGGGAAGAAAGAGGTAAAACTCTTGCTTGTACCAGCACAACTGCCCGAAACCCGTGGGATACCCAGTCTGAGGCATGTTGCTATCGACAGTCATTTCACACAGCTGGCAGTTTTTTCTTTTCTGATGGCCTAGCTCTCTTTACTCCACCGTAAATGCAAACTAAGACGAAACTTGGGATTTACCTCCGGTGCCTAAATGCCAACCTGACACTGTCTCATTGTCTCCTGAGCCCAGTAGGACGGTAATTTGTGAAATACGGAGCCTCTCACCTCAGCAGCGCTTCTTTCTATTCCCACACATATGCACATGCTAAAATGGAATGTGGTAACTAGCATAAAATAGGGTACAACAATTGCTGCAAGATTTGTTTTTTTGGCTGGGCACAGTGGCTCACGTCTGTAATCCCATCACTTTGGGAGGCTGAGGTGGGTGGATCTTTTGAGGTCAGGAGTCTGAGACCAGCCTGACTAACATGGTGAAACCCAGTCTCTACTAAAAATACAAAAAAAAAAAAAAAAAAATTAGCCAGGCATGGTGACACACGCCTATAGTCCCAGCTACTCTGGAGGCTGAACCAGCAGAATTGCTTGAACCCAGGAGGCAGAGGTTGCAGTGAGCCAATATCGTGCCACTGCACTCCAGCCTGGGAGACAGAGCGAGACTCCCTCTCAAAAAAAAAAAAAGATTTTTTTTTTCTATTGTGACTTTTCTACTTCTGTCATCACTGCTGAGCCAAGACAGACATGTAAGATCCCGTCAGCACCGTACTTGGATGCTGCATTCACAATTGTGAATTCCAACCGTAGCCATGACAAAGGAGAGAGGAGAGCTACAAAGCACTCAAAGGGATGTCCCCAAGTGTCACATAGCGTTTGAGTATAAACAGGAGATCAGAAGTGGGGAGGAAGGCAAAGAGGGAGGGGGAAACATCATTGGGTGAAGGACTGAAGTAGATTTACTGAGAGCTGATGACGGGACATTTAATGTCCTATAAAAAATTCTACATCTTGGCCGGGCGCAGTGGCTCACGCCTGTAATCCCAGCACTTTGGGAGGCCAAGGTGGGGGGATCCCCTGAGGTGAGGAGATCAAGACCAACCTGGCCAACATGGTGAAACCCCGTCTCTACTAAAAATACAAAAATTAGCTGGGTGTGGTGGCACGTGCCTGTAATCCTAGTTACTCGGGAGGCTGAGGCAGAAGAATTGCTTGAACCGGGGAGGTGGAGGTTGCAGTGAGCTGAGATCACACCATTGCACTCCAGCCTGGGCAACAAGAGCAAGACTTCATCTCAAAAAAAAAAAAAAAAAAAATTCTACATCCTATCCTCAGATAGTGTTTAGGGTTCTGCTTGACCTCTTAAAAAGAACTTATATATGCAAGCAAGGGCTGATATTCTGGGGGAGGTGCATGCATTGTAGATTCTGATTTTTCTTAGTCTTGTTTGCTGCTTTTTTTAGGGTGTTCTGGGAGCTGTTCTTCCATATATGTTGTTCCAAAATACTACCGAAGTTGGCCTTCAGAAGTTCAACGTCTCTGAACTCTTCTGAACACGCACAAAAGCCAAAATCCAGTCTGCAGGGTGTCCCCACGTGTTCAGCTGTTCCTGACATGTGTACCCTGCAGGCAATGAAGCTGTGATTTTCGATTTTTTGACAAACTCCAGCAGCTTGCATTGAGGGCTGTGCTTCTGAAGGCCAGGAGGCTGTCTCTTTAGAAGGTCCAGGTAGCAGAGTGTGGGGTTTAAATGTTCTCTGTTCTCGGAGCCACCGGTGAGGTCCCTTGCGTTTTACTCCAACCCCCAAGAGCCTCTAAGCTCCAGACTGGTGATTAAGTGACTGAGGGCAGACTCTGAAACTAGGATGGCAAACTGCTTGCAACTGGAGAATGAGGGACGGGCTACTGTTGTGCTCTTTTCTGGACAGTCATCAGCTACTCTTTCTTGGTGCCTTTTTTGTTTGTTTGGGCTTTTTTGTGGGGATGAGGGGTAGGTCATATGGAAACACTTAAGTGGATTCTCAAGGCGGCTGCTGAGCCCCTGTGAGTGTGCCGACGGGTTGCCAATGCTGTTGGAGCTGTGCAGGCAGTGGACGCCTCTGGGCTCTGAAAAGGAGAGGGAGCAGACTCACCCCTGCCACTGCCTCTACTTAAACATGGGCTCTTCTTGTGTTGGTGCAACGTGACAGAGCCGCTGTAACTGGGTCAGAGTGTCAGGGAGGGCCTCTGTCTGCCGCCGGGCAGGAGCAGCTGCCTGGGCTGGAGATGCAGCTGTTACTGCAGAAGCCTCCAGGTGCACAGTGCTGGGTGTCACTCCCTTGCCTGAGCATCCCTGGAGGCTCGAGGTGGCAGAGATGTGCCAAGCACCAGAGCCAAGAGGGAGTGGCATCCCCTGGAGTGCCACCCCTCCCAGATGGCTCACCCAGCCATGAGGCCCATGCATGGGACCTCCCCTGCCCTCGGTGTGCAGGGACACTGCTGGCCACACTAGGGAGCCTGGCTGACCTTCCCCATGTCTGAGTTTTCAAAGCACAGAGGGCTGCCAGTGGTGGTCCTTGTCTCCAGGACATCAGAATCCCTGTGGGGCTTCTTCTGGGCTCAGTGGCCTGGTCGGAGGTGTAGGTGAGAAGGCCTGCAGGGGGCTGTGGCATCTAGATGTCCCAGCAGCTTCAGATGAGTTCCTGATGTACAGCGGAGGTTAAGAGCCACTGGCCTGGAGGCACTGAAGACAGACTTTTGGCTTAGGTGCGGACTTGCATCGATATGCATTCACACGTGTGTGCATCTTTTCAGATTCTGAGATCTGGGATCAGGGTGTGGGGCTTTTTGTAGCCTCAGAAACTGACATGTCCCTTAAACATAACACAGATGGCCTTTTTATAATGGTGATGAGGTTGGCAATGCAAGAAAAACAAACAGGCACCCCGTTTAGGTCTTCTTGTAGCTAAGGCTTCTTAACAATGGCTCCAGCTGAGTCCACGGCCTTGCCTTTAAGTTCCATCTGACATCTTAGCGGGGTGGGGGGGTACCCCTAGAAGCTAACAAAACTAAGGTTTTGCTTTCCCTCAAGGGCTTTTCAAAGGCCTGGTTTTTTTTTTGGAGATGGAGTCTCGCTCTGGAGTGCAGTGGCGAAATCTCAGCGCACTGCAACCTCCGCCTCCCGGGTTCAAATGATTCTCCTGCCTCAGCTTCCCGAGTAGCTGAGATTATAGGCGCCCCGCCCCCGCAGCAGGCCTGGCTAATTTTGTATTTTTAGTAGAGATGGGGTTTCACCATGTTGGACAGCTGGTCTTGAATTCCTGACCTCAGGTGATCTGTCCGCCTCGGCCTCCCAAAGTGCTGGGATTACAGGCGTGAGCCACCTCACCTGGCCAAAGGCCTGTTCTTAATTTTATATTCAGATTGTACATTCATTTCTTAAGGAGGGCCCCAAATTATGTAAGCTTCAGAGCCCATGCAACGGAAGCTGCCTCTGCATCTCACCGTGATCGTCGTGATTGGGAAATGAACTCTTCACTCCTAGCTACTGGTGTGCCAACTGCCAATCCAACCTCCTCCCTCTGTCCAGTCTCTGGTTCAGTGATGCTTTGGAAATTCTTGCTACTCCTGAGCTCCAGCTGAATGCCCAACTGCCTACTAGTCACAGGCACCTGGATGTCCCATCAAGCCTGCCGCGTTGCATGTCCTAAGCTGCACTCATCCCTCATCTGTCACTCCCAGACCTCCTCTTCTCTCAGCGTCCACACTCTGGTGGATCCTGAAGCCTGGGAGTCATTCTGCATTGCCCTCCTTCTCTCATGGCCTCCCTCTTCCGCCTACAGGTGATGAGTAACACACACCTTCTCAACATCTTGGTTCCCCTTCTCCATCCTGAAGCCCCGCCAGGTGTTGCCCGCCCTACCCTCATCATGTCCTGGTTTCTCAGTCTTGTCCTGGGTTTTTCCTATCCAGCCTCCAAGCAGTTTCCGGAGAGTGCTTCTACGACAATGGAAATCTGACACTATACTCCTCAGCTTCAAATAGACCGCGGCTAACACTCCCTATAGAGGAGGAAGTCCTCTTCGCAGAGCCTTCAAGCCTCCAGGAGCCTGCAGGCCCCAGCCCCCTCACCAACTCCTCTCTTTTCACTTGATGTTCCAGAATGAAGGGCACTGTGTCCCCTACCCCTGTCACTGTGATTTCAGGCACACTGGCCTCTCCCCTGCATGCCTCCCCGCCCCATTCCTCCGTCTGCAAAATTCTTTGCACCCTTGAAGACCCCACTCACTCTCTGCTTCCTCTGTGGGGACTTCTCTTCTCCTTACACCCAGTTGACGCCTGCCTTCTTGAATCATCCCCGACCCTCACACAGATTCCTATTACACCACTCAGACACTGGCTGGATTATCACACATCTTGGAGGACAGGATTTATGTCTCATCTCAGTGCCCAGTGATGTGCTTGGCACCTAATAGGTATGCAATAACTTTTTTTTCTTCTTCTTTTTCTATTTATTTATTTATTTATTTATTTATTTATTTATTTATTTATTTATTTTTGAGATGGAATCTGGCTCTGTCACCCAGGCTGGAGCGCAGTGGTGCGATCTCAGCTTACTGCAACCTCTGCCTTCCAGGTTCAAGTGATTCTCCTGCCTCAGCTTCCCCAGTAGCTGGGATTACAGGCATGTGCCACCATGGCCAGCTAATTTTGTATTTTTAGTAGAGACGGAGTTTCACCATTTTGGCCAGGCTGGTCTCGAACTCCTGAACTCAAGTGATCCACCCGCCTCGGCCTCCCAAAGTGCTGGGATTACAGGCGTGAGCCACTGCGCCCGGCCACAATAACTGTTTTTTTGAGCGAATGAATGAGTGATGGCTGTGACAGATTGGTAGTCTGTCCTTCAAGTAGGAATGGGCTGGAAAATTCTAACTTCTTCCTCCAAGGCCACAGAAACCCAAGTGATTTTCAATAACAACCCAGTTTGGGTTAGAGACAATGGCCTGGAAAACTATATTGACCTTTTGACATTTTTAATTCATGGACCTGGATAAGTTCCATTCATTATTGTAAATTCTCTTATTTGATGGCTGATTATTCATGCCTTTGGCCTCTTAATTCTTATCTTGAAGCCTGTTTTAGCATCTTATAATAATAGTTATAATTGACTGAGCCCTAGCTATGCATCCTTTCCTGTTTTACATACATCAAGTGCTAGCTCATCACCTCTTCACTCTTCATTAGAACCTCAATTAGAGGAATAAAGAAAGCTTAAACATATTAATAAATTGAACCAAACAAGTATGAATACTTGTTAGCATGTCCTCTAAAAAGCTTAGAGGGAGAAGAGATTTCAACTGCTGGATTTTAATTATCTCTGCTGTAGACCTCAATTATGCATGTCGGCCTTGGTCTTCCACCACTACAGGCAAGAGAGAGCTCAATGTATTGCAGCCAGAATTTTGTTAAAGGCTTTAGGGAGTATTCTTGGCTTTTGCAAGTGCAAAAACAGTCAGGCAGGTTGAAAAGAGAAGAGTCAGGCCAGGTGTGGTGGCTCACACCTGTAATTCCAGCACTTTGGGAGGCTGAGGAGGGCAGATCACTTGAGGTCAGGAGTTTGAGACAGGCCTGGCCCACATGGTGAAACCCCATTTCTACTAAAAATACAAAATCAGCCAGGCGTGGTGGCAGGCGCCTGTAATCCAGCTACTGGAAAGGCTGAGGCATGAGAATCGCTTGAACCTGGGAAGCAAAGGTTGCAGTGAGCCAAGAGCGTGCCACTGCACTCCAGCCTGGGAGACAGAGCGAGACTCCATCTCAAACAAACAAACAAACAAACAAACAAAAAACAAAAAGAGAAGGGTTGTTCTAAAAAGAAGGAGGGAAGAGAGAACTCAGGAAGAAAAGGCACAGAAAATTAAAAATGCCACGTGGGAAAAAGGCACAGGGAAAACAGGAAGAAAAATACAGGGAGGAAGAGGTATGGATCCCACAATTGAGGAACACAAAGCCAGAAAAGGTAAGAACAGGGGGTCCAATTCATTTCTTGTTGCATATAAATGGATAAGGAAAGGCTTTGGAGATAGCCGCAAAACAACACTCCCTCCACCCGCCAAAGAGCCAGGTTCTTCCTGAATTGTTCTCAGTCAATAATTCCCCCATCATTTGCTCAGCATCTTTTCTTAGAACTTAACCACCTTACTGATCAATGGAGTAAAAATCCTCCCAACATGGGAACATTTTTTCTTCTATCAATTTAATAAAGAAGTTTGCCAAGGACAGATGTTAACTGGAGAGCCTACAATCCACTTAGATATGTAGTGTGGGTTTCAATCCTATTCGAGGATAAAACAGCTTGGAAAGCAATCTGGAATGACATAATGGCCCAATATTGCTTTCTCTCTGCTAAAGCAAGTGTGGTTTTCATAGGTTTTTAATATGTATTTCAGGGTTTGGACTGCATACCATCTCCTTTATTCTCCACCGGGGGATCTGAATGATAGCACTCGCCTCTAAGATATGTTTCCATTATAATTTTTCAATTTGTTCTGGTCTGAAAAGTGTTTGTAAATGAAAACAGAGAAAATTCAAACGTTGTATCCCTTTCAAACATTCCATTTTGGGTTTACAAGGACTTTGCAAACCGTTTTCTGTTTCTCTCCCTCTTCAGCAAATAACCTTATTTTCTGATCACCTTTATTGAGCCAGAAAATATGTGCTGGATTTCCAGGAAACCCTCTCTCTCTTATTTTTCAGCTTTTCTGTTTTTTGTTTTGAGACAAAGTCTTGTTCTGTCACCCAGGCTGGAGTGCAGCAGGGCAATCCTGGCTCACTGCAATCTCCGCCTCCCGGGCTCAAGCGATTCTCATGCCTCAGCCTCCCAAGTAGCTGGGATTACAGGCATGCACCACCATGCCCAGCTAATTTTTGTATTTTTAGTAGAGAGAGGGTTCTACCATGTTGGCCAGGCTGGTATAGAACTCCTGGCCTTAAGTGATCCACCTGCCTCAGGCTCCCAAAGTGCTAGGATTACAGGCGTGAGCCAGCGTGCCCAGCCTTTCAGCTCTTTTTGACCTGCAATCTCTTCTTTCAGCTCTCCCACCTCCCCTGATCCTGTCCCAGAAATCTTTGGGAGAACTCAGACTGGCTTCAGGATTCAAGAGAAATGTTACATCATTTTTCCAAAGAATACAGCCCTGCCCGAAATTAAGGAACAGGATAGTCCCTCAAAAGTCTCTTTGCCTATCTGCTCTGGGGAGAACTGAGCCAGTCATCTCACCTTAAGTAATTATAACAGCTTAGATTTCCTTAGAGACAGGGAGAAAAAAAAGAAAAAATATTTACCCAGGGAACTCAGATGGGATTGCTGTGGAGTAATTTGTATACACTAAAATTAGCAGGAGATTGGTGAGCCTTTAGGCTGCATGGCGTTAGCATTTTTAAAGTGACTCCTACGCCTGTTCCTCTCTGGATCTGAGAGGAGTTAAACCCAAGCAGGAGACCAGCCTTACCTTTCTTGGCTTCACTTTATCATGGTAGTCATACTGGAAGATCCCTTTGTAGCTCAGGCCCAGCCACCATGGTATGCCCTGCTTGTCCTAGGATATCAAAAAAAGTTTGGGTGAATATGGGACTGGAGGAAGTAAACACACGCAAAGTGGAGATTTCCTGGCTCAGGGGCAGACGAGGGAAAGGGCCATTTCCTTGGAATGGATGGAGCCCACCTGTCTACTTTGTTTCTTAACAGATGCGTCTGTCATTGAAGGATACTCTGTTATGTGAAGAGGGTGACATGGGGAGTGCCGGGGGCTGGGGGCCTGGCTCTGCTCTTAATCAGCCGCACAGCCGAGGTCCTTTCCCTTTATAAATAAGGAATGAATGCCCTGCTTGCGCTCTCTCTCTCTCTTTTTTTTCCTTCTAAGAATTTAGGCATTCCATGCCGGGATGCTCACTCACCACAACTGAAAATCTGTGAGATGTCACACCTAATAAAAGGACCTTCTGGGCAGAGAAACTGTCATCGATGGTCAGAGCCAGAGGAGCTGTGGAGACTATGGAAAGTGACTCCTCTCATTTTAACAACAAATCACAGCAAAGAGTTGGCCCAGCTTTACCCAGGACCTTCCCCAGCTCCGGGGAGCACAGGCTGGAAGGTGTCACCCTGAGGTCCTGCTCACCCAAGATGACAGCTGGGTGCCAGGCAGGGTTTTAGGACTCATGCTGTTGGACAGGGTAGCACAGTGGAAGCTGAAACAGTCTCAGGACTGAATTAGAAACACCAAGTCCCTGTTTATTCCTTTTTTTTTGAGATGGAGTCTCACTCTGTCACCCAGGCTGGAGTGCATTGGCACAATCCTGGCTCACTGCAACCTCCGCCTCCCAGGTTCAAGGAATTCACCCACCTCAGCCTCCCAAGTAGCTGGGATTACAGGCACGTGCCACCACGTCTGGCTAATTTTTGTATTTTTAGTAGAGACAGGATTTCACCATGTTGGCCAGGCTGGTCTCAAACTCCTGACCTCAGCTGATCCACCCGTCTTGGCCTCCCAAAGTGCTGGGATTACAGTCATGAGCCACTGCGCCTGCCCCCACTGTTTATTAACAGAGACCTCTTGTCACCTGAGCGTAAGTTGCAATTCTATATTCAAATAGGATGATTCTGAGTTAATTAGAGCCCCCAGAAGCTAGGATTTTATAGTGAGCATATCAAGCAGCTTTTCCCTAATTGCCAAGTTTCTAAATAACCTAATACAACCCCATAGTGGGTGTCTGGAAAACTTGAAACTGGCATCACGGTTTTGAAATATTTGTGGGGCGTGAGTTATTTCAAGATGAGCAAAAAGATGAAAGGCAAAAGAGATAAATTTTGAAATTTCTTTTCAAGCTTCTGGGTATATGATTTCTTAAAACTTTAAAGGTGGGATAAAATCCTTGTATTAAACCCCTGCCTCTGGGAAGCAGCTGTGTGCACTGCAACGGTTTCAGAGAACAGAACAAGAGGAAACCCAATGCCACTGCAACAGCAGATTGACCAGAGAAGGGCTGTCATCACACCATAAAACATGGCATCAGTGAGACCACAAGGCCACCAGACAGGGAGCCTGGTGCAGCTGGGCCAGGTTTCCTGGATTCGTGCTCTTTTCCAAATTAGTAGCAGAGCCATTGCTTATGCTTTGAGGTTCTAAGTGCCAAACACCTCTACTCCTTTGGCACTTTGAAAATCACAAGCCCTGCTTTTGATCTTTACCAAACTGAAATAAAGAGCACAGTTTTGAAGTTTTCTTGGAAGGCAGAAAGCATATATATCAGAGGCAGCCTTTCTGTTAAGTTCTAGGGCTGACAAAGAAATGGACCACAGGTTGAAGCAAGTTAACTGGATGAAGTTTTCTGTATTTGAAATTGTCTCCCCGCAGTGTGCAATCTTCCTGACCAAGTCCTCCACAACCTCCATTCCCACCAGGAATTATAAAGAAAAAAACAATGAGGGCCAGGCGCGGTGGCTCACGCCTATAATCCCAGCACTTTGGGAGGCCGAGGCAGGCAGATCACCTGAGGTCAGGAGTTCCAGACCAGCCTGGCCAACATGGCAAAACCTCGTCTCTACTAAAAATACAAAAATTAGCTGGGTGTGGTGGCGCATGCCTGTAATCCCAGCTACTCAGGAGGCTGAGGTAGGAGAATCGCTTGAACCCGGGAGGTGGAGGTTGCAGTGAGCCAAGATCGCACCCTGCACACCAGCCTGGGAGACAAAGCAAGACTCTATCTCAAAAGAAAAAGAAAAAGAAGAAAACATATAACGAGATGTTTTGATTTGTTTGCTTAGGGGAGGTTTGGTAACCTTCACCAAATGAGTCTACTCACCTTCACTGCATAATAGTGAACCCCGTAGGTTGGGAGAGACTCCACGATGCTCATGTAGCTGGAATGACAACACGAAGATACACAAACACACACACAATGCGCAAAAGGCTAGTTATTCAGCAGATCTGGTATCATATATATATTTGTGTATGTGTACGTGATAAAGTTCTCGGAGTGATTATTTACTTGAAAATTAAATGGAAACATACACCCCCCACTCCCAGATATGTCTTTGGAGAGGAACTGAACAATCCTGACATACGATATATTAACACACACAAACACTGTCCCCATGTGAGCTGGGAAGGGGCCACTTACTTTACGATTGCTTGACCTCTTGTCTGACCGTTCAGTTTCTTGTAGTGCTCAATGACTCTGTCTTCACTGTAATTAGAAGAAAAGAATGCTGTTGTTGGAGTCTCTAGGTCAACAGCCAAGCTTCCTGCCAGTAAGATATTTCTCAGCCCCATCTCATAAGAAGCTCCAAGGCACCAACAGCTCCTGGAAAAATGATTTGTCCTGGAGTGGTATTTCCAAACTCGGTCTGAGTGCTATCTATTTGGATGTAGATTTACTTTAAAAAGAGTCTGTTTTCCCCACAAAGGACTTGCATTCTCTTTGTCTTGGATGTTTGTTTTTTTTTTTTTTTTTGAGACGGAGTCTTGCTCTGTCACCCAGGCTAGAGTGCAATGGTGCGATCTTGGTTCACTGCAACCTCCACCTCCCGAGTTCAAGCAATTCTTGTGCCTCAGCCTCCAGAGTAGCTGGGACTACAGGTGCGTGCCACCACACCTGACTGATTTTTGTATTTTTAGTAGAGACAGGGTTTCATCATGTTGGCCAGGCTGGTCTCAAACTCTTAACCTCAAGTGATCCACCCACCTTGGCCTCCCAAAGTACTGGGATTACAGGCGTGAGCCACCATGGCTGGCTTATCTTGGATTTCTAATCAAGAAATATAAGACTGGAGCCCAGGCCGGGTGCAGTGGCTCACCCCTGTAATCCCAGTGTTTAGGGAGGCTGACATGGGGGGATTGCTTGAGCCCAGGAGTTTGAGACCAGCCTGGGCAACACAGTGAGACCTTGTCTCTATACAAAAATACAAAAATTAGCCAGGCATGGTGGGGTATGCCTGCAGTCCCAGCTACTTGGGAGGCTGAGGTGGGAGGATTGCTTGAGCCCAGGAGGTCAAGGCTGCAGTGAGCTACAATTGCACCACTGCATTCCAGCCTGGGTGACAGAGTGAGACCCTGGCTCAAAAACAAAAAACAAAAGAACAAAAAGACTGGAGCCCAGGTTTTGGGATCAGCTCCTTGGAAGAAATGGTACCGTGGGAACAAGAGGAAGCAGACAGCAGAGATGACGCATGAATGCCCGGGCTGAGCTCCCTGGGGCCCTTCTTATCCTCATCTTCCCAGTCCTGTTCACACAGGGCCTCATGGGGGAATGGCAGGCATTGACCTTAACCAAGTGCCCACAGCCTACCTGCTCTGAATGCGTAGTCAGGAATGGAAGGCTTTCCAGGAGGATGGAATGTTCTGGAATTTGGGCTTGGTTAATATGAACCATGAAGCAACAAAAGCCCCATAGGAATGCTTGGAGAACAACAGCAAACCAGCTACCAGAATTAGACAGGCGCTCCCTCCTTTTTTGAAATCTTAGGTGTTTTTGTTTTTGTTTTTGAGACGCAGTCTCCCTTGTCACTCAGGCTGGAGTGCTGTGGAGCGATCTTGGCTCACCGCAACCTCTGCCTCCCAGTTTAAAGCAATTCTTGTGCCTCAGCCTCCTGAGTAGCTGGGATTACAGGTGTGTGTCACCACACCTTGCTAATTTTTGTATTTTTAGTAGAGATGGGGTTTTGCATGTTGGCCAGGCTGGTCTCAAACTCCGGGCCTCAGGTCATCTGCCCACCCCTGCCTCCCAAAGTGCTGGGATTACAGGCGTGAGCCACCGCGCCCAGCTGAAATCCTAGTTCTAATATAACAAGAGGTTAGCTGGCTCCTTGGCAGCAGTGGCAAGCCCGCCTCCTGAGAAGTGACTCTGGTGCCCATGAGGTAGGAGATACGGCCGCTCCCACCCCCGCTTTCGGAAGGGCAGAGCCAACCTGGGGAATCCCAGGGAAGCAGGTGCAGGCAGAAAGCCCCAACCCCACCTGCTGAGGTGTGGAGTCGACACCTCGGTCTCCCTGGTCTGGCCCCAGAGCCTTGGAACCTCAGTTCTCACTCTCAGGTCTTACTCCTCTTCACCCTCCCTGTCCTCTGTCAAAGCTCTGTGAGGGGAGCTGATTCTAGGGGTGTACCCTCGAGATCTCAATAGAGGATCTTTATTATCTATTATTTTTGAGACAAGGTTTTGCTCTCTCGCCCAGACTGGAGTGCAGTGGTATGATCCTGACTCACTGCAACCTCCATCTCCCAAGTTCAAGCAATTATCCTGCCTCAGTCTTCCGAATAGCTGGGATTATAGGTGTGCACCACCACGCCTGGCTAATTTTTGTATTTTTAGTAGAGATGAGGTTTCACCACATTGACCAGGCTGGTCTCAAACTCCTGACCTCAAATAATCTGCCCATCTCAGCCTCCTGAAATGCTGGGATTACAGGTGTGAGTCACTATACCCGGCCCTATTATCTATTATCCATCAGCCCAGGATCTACCTAAAGCCTTCTTTTACCCACCTTTTTGTTTTCAGTTTTAGCAAGGCCAGTGTTGGGGGTAACAGGTTCTACACATTCATCACCTAGTCCTTGGGGGTAATTTATTTCTCTTCCAATGACTACCTTAACCTCCAACTAGTATCTTTTAATTTTAATACTCTGGAATTTGATGCATAGAGGACAGTGAGAGGTCTTGATAAAGAAGGGTCTTTATAAATACCCAGAATGAGGACCAGCCAGCTACAGGGGGCCTTGCCTCAGTTGGAGAGTCACTTCTGTGGGGTCTGGATATCCTCTATTCAGAAAGGGGCAGACCCAGCCATCTCTCTCCTTGGCTCCCACATGCCGAGGAAGTTCTATATCAAGTGTGACAAGGTCGTCTCCTGAAGACGATTCTCGAAAAGCATGCTCCCCAAGGGCAGGCCCAGCCTCACTAATCCTGCAGAACTGCGTCAGGAGGTTCAGCGGCTCCACTTCCTTCCATCCCACTCACTAAATCAACAGCTGCCTTGGCGTGTTTCCTACCACGTGACATGGGGTTTTGTGAAGTCGACTCCTAGATCCAGGGTCAAGCAACTCAGTGTAGATAGGGACCTTTTTCCTTTGCAGCACTAGGGAGAGAGGGTCCCTGGGGTGAGTTCAGGAGGTGCAAGTCAACATAGCACTGTAGCCATGAACACACAGAAGGCTCAGGAGAAACACCAGTGAAAGAAAGTCAAAACCACTGTCAGAAAGCCGCGTCGCTGTTTAACCACGACATGTCCTGACCACAGGGTTCTGGGTGGCCGACAGCAGCAGAAATCTTTGCCGCCCCCTGTTTGCCCTGTAACTCCTGCTCTCTGAGGCCATCTGTGAAGCCACAATAATTGCCTTCTCCATCCTCAGCTTTTCCTGCTTGTTTTGCCCCCTTAAACATGGTGGGCTTATCCTGGAAGAACAGGCTCAATCCTGACCGAGAACCTATTCTGCTCCCAGCCTGTCCCCACCTCTGCTCTGGAACTTGCCAGAGGGCTGAAGTGCTCTGAGCTTTGCAGACAATTTTCCCATACCCTAGATTTGTAGCAGGGACTCAAGGGGATAACTAGCAGAAATCCAGGAAGCAGAGTAAGTGCTGCCTGGAGGACACAGGGTTACATGGAGGAAAAAGGCAAATGATCAAAGCTGCCTGTGCCCAGGTCGCTGGCTGGGTCATGTTGTTAAGTCAAATGACCTCTCAGCAGACAAGGGGATACATGAAATGCATGGGTGATGGAAGGGGAAACAGGGATGGTGATATGATATGGTTCCCCGTCTTGGAGCAGCTGCTGGCCTGCTGTGCTCAGTGGTTTCGGGGTTAAAAATAGATGTCCCTGCATACCTTATTGAGGCGATAGGGGTGGTCAGGTGGTCCAGCATTTACAAACTAGGCCCGCGAGGCAGAATCCAGGTCAGGGTCCTGATCCCTCCTTGTTCTGTGGCCCTGGGCACATCATTCTAACTTTCTGCCTCAGTTGCCTCCTCAACAGGGAAATCGCACGGTGTGAAAAGTCCATGCTTGTTAAATGCATGGGGAGAATTAGCAGAAAGGCTTCTTGCACCATAACTCAGCATTATTATGCTGCTTTCACTGCTTTTTAATGACATAATGTGACTATGTATTTCCTCTCTTAATTACCGTCTCAAGTAGGTTGGTGTATGTCATCCCATTTTGCAGAGGAGAAATTGATGAAAGCTACCTGGCTAGTCACTGCAGAGGCTTGGCTGGGATGCTAAGACCCACTGCCTTGGTTACCAGGCTGCAGCCTGCAGGTTGCCCATCCAATGTGCGAACTCCAGCGGGGGCAGGAAAGCCCCCGAAGAATGGTGAGTACAGCTCCTTAGTTCAGGAATGATCAGGGGAACTTGACACTCTGGGTAACTGTGATGAGACGGGTAAAAACGTCTCCCCCACCAGTGAGGGGTCCTGGTTAACCTTGCTGAGTGGTGAATCTGAGGCCCAGAGGGAAAAGCAGTGAACAAGCTGTGTGCACCTGCTCTCTCTTCATTCTGTATCTGTAGGAAGGAGGAACAGCACTTATCCCTCTCCTTGCGGCTTTGCTTTTTAAAAATCTATGTATATATAGGGATATGAAAATAGTTAGCTAGAAGGAATATGTTCTAGCATTTGATAGAACAGTAGGGAAATTATAGTTAACAATAATTTGTTGCATATGTCAAAGTAGCCAAAAGTGAAGACTTGTAATGTTCCCAACACAAAGAAAAGATAAATGTTCGAGGTGATGGATATCCCAGTTACCCTGATTTGACCACTGCACATTATGTACAGATATCAGAGTATATATACGTGAAAAATATGTACAACTATTATGTATCAATAAGAATCAAAGTCCATATAAATAAGGTTGAAATATTAGAGCCAACATCAAGTAGCCAACCACAGTGAAATGAGGTGAAAGGGCCTGTTGTGGTTGTGGTTGTTGTTTTTCAGTAGGGTATCGTCAGGAGGGTCCCTGTCATTGACTTTTATACATCGTCTGGGCTGTGATGCTGACTGTGATACACGTGGCTCCCCCGTCCTGCCACACTCTCAGGGCATTTAACACTGGCTTGGGCACTTATGGGTCTGAAGGAGGCTCAGGGAAAGCGCTGGCCTGGTCGTGATGGTATGGGATGTTCTGCCAAGCCAGCTATAGGTGAAGATGTTCATATGCAGAAGAGACAGAGAGAGTGTGTGTGAAGGGCGAGGTGCCTCTGGGTTAGTAATCATGTGTGAGTACAGAGCAGATAATGGAGATGGTGAAGGAGAAATCCAGAGACACAGGGAGGAGAGAAGAAATTCAAAACTCTCAGATGAGCATAGCAGTGTTCTAAGGTTTGGAAAGGAATGAATGAAGGGATGACTAAGAGACCCACAACAGGACAGGTCTCAGAGGCAAAGAGATTCCTCCCTGGTCCTCTCTAGTTACCTTCTCACATCCCCAGGGCCTTGACCATTGGATTTTTGGAAGTGAACAGCCAGGAGGCTACAGAGGGATGAGGCCCAGTGGCACAAGGAATTAGGGAGGTGGGTAATAGGGTCCATGAACAAGGAAACGGGACCATCATTTTTGGGGGTTCGGATTGCAAGTCTCGACATTTGGAAGCTGATGCATGCAAAATCCCTGCAAGTTAACAGATTTTGCTCTTTGGGGGCAGGTTATAATTAGAGAAAGCCATCATTTATTTACATCTATGTTTCCAAAAGAGGAGTGGCAATAAAACAGCTCAGAGAGATGAAATTAGGGACGCCAGACACGGAAGGGAGCTCCCAGCCTCGGGTCTTGGGGCCAGCTCCCTAGTGATGTGGTCTCTCAGAGAGATGTGATTTATGAGCCAGAGTTGTTTTTTTGTTTGTTTGTTTTGAGATGGACTCTCGCTCTGTCGCCAGGCTGGAGTGCAGTGGCACAATCTTTGTTCCCTGCAACCTCCGACTCCCAAGTTCAAGTGATTCTCCTGCCTCAGCCTCTTGAGTAGCTGGGACACCAGGCGCGCGACATCATGTCCAGCTAATTTTTTTTTGTATTTTTAGTAGAGACGGGGTTTCATCATGTTGGCCAGGATGGTCTCGATCTCCTGACCTTGTGATCTGCCCGCCATGGCCTCCCAAAGTGCTGGGATTATGAGCCAGAGTTCAATGCTGCTAATGAGCCCTGCATCAAGACATGCCCTACCCCAGACACACGAATCAGTGAACAACTAGGTCACTGTCTGGATAAGTGTCCAGACAAGACAAAATGCTCATAATCCATACAGTTCAGAAGTTGTCATCAAAAGCACTTACACAAGTCACGTATTGTAGTTTATTAGAATCAACTTGGTCTGTGCTTTTTGTTTTGCTTTTAAATAAAAGGAGTTGCAATGATTTCTGTTAGGGGATCAGAAGGAACATCAGAGAAGAGGTATTACAGTTATTAAAGGTCAGTGGCCAGGGCTTAGGAACCCAGTAGGATTTCAAAACATTATCCAGGAATGCAAGCCCTGCCCAACTGTGGCCCAAACCACAACCTGGGAGTCTTTCAAATGGCTTGAATCATTCAGAATCAGCCATTTAGGGCCGACAGATGAGCTATGGCATAATGTTACATAGTGGCTAAATCAGGAGATGTGAAACATCGAGGGAAAATAAAACAATCAATCTCCCTCTTCTGAAAGAAGAAAACCCTGTGGTTCTCCCACGTCTCAAAACCTCACACATGCTGTCATCAAATGACAGGTGTTCCAAAATGAAACTCTAGCAGCACATGAAAGGCTCTCGAAGGCGGTGAAGCTTCCAAAGTGAAATTTTAGAAGGTATTCTTTTTGAAAATTAAAAAAAAAAAGAAGAAGAAACAAAAAAGGAGAGGTCTCAGGCACAGTGCTTCACTTAAGTAAATGTAGAAAACGGGCCAGGCGTGGTAGCTCACCCCTGTAATCCCAGCACTTTGGGAGGCCGAGGCAAGCGGATCACCTGAGTGAGGTCAGGAGTTTGAGACCAGCCTGGCCAACATGGTGAAACCCGGTCTCTACTAAAAATACAAAAATTAGCCAGGTGTGGTGGTGCGTGCCTGTAATCCCAGCTACTCAGGAGGCTGAGGCAGGAGAATCGCTTGAGGCAGAAGTTGCAATGAGCTGAGATCATGCCACTGCACTCCAGCCTGGGTGACAAAGTGAGATCCGTCTCAAAAAAAAAAATTAATTAATTATTTTAAAAATAAATAAATAAATAAATAAATGCAGAAAATGGTTTCAGGAAGACACAGGGTACTTAATACAGCTGCAAGTCCAGGCTGGCACGTGGGAGCTGGTGGAGGGAGGGTACATTCAGTTGTCCTGTGTCCCCTCGCACCCCGAGAGGGACTCGCTCCTGGGGAAGACTCCAGGGGTCTTACCAGTAGGCCAGGGAAGGGTGCTCCTTCAGGGCTTGGGTGGGAAGGGCTGGCAGCTTCTTCAAGTCACTCCTCACAACTTCATTGCTGAAAGAGAGAATGCCCAGAAACGCACTCACCCTCTGAGAAAATAATCGCACTCTCTGATACCACTTGGGCCGCTGTCTTGTCTGAGAGACCCCACATCTGCTTCCCTGTTAATAAAAAGCAGTGGGGGGAAGGGGCGCTCTCTTTTTATTTCCGAAATACAGATGTAAACGAAGGCAGAACACACCAAGCCCAGTAACCGCCTTTCACCGTGCAGAAAGCAGGGCAAAACACCTTCAGATGGCCAGGGGTGTCTTCCCAAACCCTGCTCTCACTGAAGGGCACAGAGTGAACGCCCCTGAGCAGCCCTCAGCAGGAATTTGGGGAGAAGAAGTGTCCCCAGGGGTCCCCCAGGGCAGGATCTTAGAAGAAGCTCCCCAGAACCCCGCCGTTAGGCTCACAGAGCTCCGAGAATGGGCAATGGCGCCACTGTCTCCCTAAGAGCATTTGCGCTGCTAATACACAAAGCTGGTTTTCATGGCTTACGTTGACCACATGCTGGAAACTGTTTTCTGAAATATGACAAATAAATACTGATGGAGTCTCCTTTATCGGAAATGCTTGGGAGCAAAAGTGTTTCAGATTCCAGATTTTTTTCAGATGTTTGACTGTTTGCATTTATATACTTACTGGTTGAGCCCCACAAAACCTGAGCATCTGAAATCCAAAGTGCTCAAATGAGCATTTCCTTTGAGCGTCATGTCAACACTCAAAAAGTTTCTGAGTTTGGAGCATGTTGGATTTCGGATTTTCAGATTAGGGAGACTCAACCTGTAACTTTTGCTTTTGAGGAGGCTCAGAAACTACTTAGAAAGTGTGAACTGCGTTGTCTGGGCCAGGCTGAGCATCCCATATCCCAAAATCCCAAATCAGAAATGTGCCAGAATCTAAAACTTTTTGAGTGCCAACATGACGCTCAAAGGAAATGCTTATTGGAGCACTTTGGATGTTGGATTTTCAGATTTGAGGATGCTCAACCAGTTGGTATATAACACAAATATTCCAAAGCCTGAAAGAAATCTGAAACACTTCTGCTCCCAAGCATTTGGGATGAGGGAGACTCAACCTGTACCATTAGGCAGTTTTATGCATCCGGTCCTGAAACCAGAAATTCTTTTCCCTGTAGACTCACACATGCTTAGGTTTGGAAGATGCTTTAAACTCCCCTAGCTTAACCAGCCTTCTTCAGGTGACTGACTCCTCCTTACACACTCAGCAGGTCTGCATCCCCTCTGGGCCGGACCATCTGTGGCGTCTGCACCCACTTACTACCTCCAGAGCAACAAACGGCAGCCACTTTGGGACAGTTTTGATACTGAAAGAGCGTTTCCCTATCCTGGTCCACCAAAGAGCCTTGGAAGCCTTAGCCGGGGTTGCAAAGGCACATGTAGGAGCATTCTGCCTTTGATTCGCAGTTCTGACCTGGGCTATGTTAGCAGCTTCGAGGTTGCTTATATTAACCAAGGCAAATACTGGCCACCAGGACACTGGGCAGTGCCATCTAAAAAGGAATGAAACAGGTATAACTGTTTCATTTTTAGCAATGTTTTTCATTGCTAAAAAGCAATGAAACAAGGTATAACTCTGAAGGAAGGAAGGAATACCGCAGCCATAGAGGGGAGTTCCTCAGGTGCTTGGATGGTGGACACTCCAGCACCTATGCTGCTAACTGGAGGATGCATTGTTCCCTGTGTCCCCGGCGAGAAATACAGCCAAGGGCAATGCAATGATCAGCGTCACCATTGGATGCCCAGTGCCACTGGGCAAAACCACACCAATACACTAATACATTACGTCTGTGTGTGGTGATAAAGAAAGACATGGAGGTTTGGTGACATTAGAGCACTCCCAGAAAAAGCATTTTTCTGTTGCCCTAAGAAAGAATGAGGCCAGGCGTGGTGGCTCATGCCTATAATCCCAGCATCTGGGGAGGCCGAAGTGGGAGGATCACTTCAGTCCAGGAGCTCAAGATCAGCTTGGGCAACATAGTGGGATCCTGTCTCTACAAAAAATACAAAAATTAGCCATGCACAGTGATGCATGCCTGTAGTCCTAGTTACCCAGGATGAGGTTGCAGTAAGCTGTAATTGCAACACCACACTCCAGCCTGGGTGACAGAGGGAGACCCTATCAAGAAAGAAAAGAAAAGAAAAGGGAAAGAGAAAGAAAGAGACAGAGAAAAAGAAAGAGAGAGAGAGAAGGAGAGAGAGAAAGAGAGGGAAAGGAAAGGAAGGAAGGAAGGAAGGAAGGAAGAAAGAAAGAAAGAAAGAAAGAAAGAAAGAAAGAAATGAAGAAAGAAAGAAAGAAAGAAAGAAAGAAAGAAAGAAAGAAAAGAGAGAAGGAAAGACAATGACCATGACCAGTGGTGTTGGTGAATCCTGACCATGACCAACTAGAGGGAAAAGCTCAAAGTGTAACTGTTTGAATCAATCCATCCAAGTACTTGAACTGTTAGAATCTAAATGGTAAGGCCAGGACAGATCAACTGATAATCAATAAGCTGAAGGTGTTTATGAAGCCCCTGCCATTACATGGAAAGAATTGTAGAGGATATAAAAAATGATGAGATATGGTCCTTAACCAGAAGGTGCCCACGATTTAGCTGAGAAGGTGAGAGGAGCTCCTACAAAGCTCACTGACCACAGGGGTGATGTGTGATCATGTCAATCCAAACAGCAGACACGAAAGCTCAGAGGAAATAAAGGCACCCTTGGGCTCTGATGTAAGACTGGCTTTGGGGGAGGCCGTGCACGAAGAAAAGGATAGGAATATCACTCTTCTCCTGAGGGGAACACGGACAGACATGGAAGCCACATGAACTGAAGAAATCCATCAGAGTAAGAGGAATGTCAGGGGCAATACACTGAAAAGGGCAGGTCAGGCAGAGAATTGTGAAACTTTAATGCCAGGCTAAGAGGGTTCAGCCTCTCCTGGGTTTGATCCAGGAGGCAGACAGCAGGACAGCACCTGGTGATTTTCAAACGGGTAAACTCCTAGTGTTCAGGAAAACTCAATTCCAATCCCAAGTACAGTCGGTAATTTTTAAGCACATGCTATAAAGGCATAGTTTCAGCAAGTATTCAATTCACCAAACACTCGAGGGCCCACACTGATGAATTTCCGGATCTTCTCTCCCTGCGTCATGGTAAGTTCCCTGAGAAAAGGGATTTGATTTATTGGTCCATCAGCACACAGAGGGCTGGCTTCAATGTGAAAGGCACTTTTCTCAGATCAACTTTATTGGATGAAACCATGAGAAAGGCAATTAGTGGCTCCCTGAAGGAGCTGAAACTTGAGTTTGGGTTTCACTCACACCCATCACATCTAAAGTATATTTGGGGAAGGAAGGAACTCCAGGAGGAAGGGATCGTTTTACCCACCAAACCCTTGCTTGTTGGCAAACAAGTTGCCCTGATGACAGCCACAGGTTTGATTTCCTCACTGAAGCCTGCAGTGAGTTCTCTAGCTCTGCTCCAGGGCAAGGTTACACACAAAAAAATCTAACAAGAAATCACCAAGGCGTGAAACCTGTCCAAATCCATTATATTCTGGAAGGGATCCATGGCCCTTCATCCTTCCCCGAGGACAAATCTATAGAAATGTTCTGTTTGCTTTTCTGCTGTTTATAAACATCTGCAATAACTTAGGGGTGTCTAGCCCTGTCAATCTGGCCAAACTCTGTGGCTGAAAATCAGAAAGCTCCCCTAATGGGAAACTTGGTCACTCTACCCCCAGAGCTTGCAAGGCTGTGGCCTAACGAATGTTCTAGAAGTTCACAGCTTCCTCCCTCAATGTCTTCCACTTCGACATTTTCCCCAGAGTTCATGACATATGATAAATGCCAACTTATAAAACACCTTAAGACAGTTCACTGTGGCTGCATTCCATTTTTAGAAAAATGCAAAAAAGAGCTGGATGTGGTGGCTCATGCTTATAATCCCAGCACTTTGGGAGGCCAAGGTGGGAGGACTGCTTGAGTCCAGGAGTTTGAGACCAGCCTGGGCAACATAGCAAGACTCCATCTCTTTAAAAATAAAAATATAAAAAACAGCCAGGTGTAGTGGTTTGCACTTGTAGTCCCAGCTATCTGGGAGGCTAAAGTGGGAGGATTGCTTGAGCCCAGGAGTTTGACATTAGAGTGAGCTATGACCATGCCACTGTTCTCCAGCCTGGGCAACAGAGGGAGACCCTGTCTCAAAAACCAAAAGAATAGAAAAGAAAAAGAAAAATGCAAAAAGTTCTCTTGAAAAGCCAGTTGCTAAACTGAGAATAACATCCAAGTCTTCTTATCTTTAATATGAATCAGTTTTTATTAAAAACTCTCCGGCAGTTATTAACGTTGCCAGGATAAAAGTGGTATCAATGCTGTATTGGTCTTCGATTTAGTGGTGTTTTTTTCTTTGAGATGATGTGCCTGTCTTCTGCAGCCTATACTCCTCACGAAACAAGGAAAGTTAGAATGATCTACTGGGGAAAAACAAAGATTTCTAGCAATATATCAAATAGAGAATTTGCCACAGTGAACAGCAGATTTAACCAAGATGCCACAAAGTGAAGGGAGCAAAAATTAAACCTGAGAGGGAAGGATGAGGAAAATCCACAATGTGTTTGCTTTTCTTTAAAAAACCTGGAAATAACTTTTTCAAGAAAGTCCCCCTGGGTCAAATGAGATGTATGTAATTTGTGGGAGAAACTTGGGACGAACAGAATAGGCTTAGCGTGAAAGAATTCTTGCTAAAACCAGTCGTTTCTGTCTGCACTGGTACAAAAACAGCAGAGCACAAAACCCAGAATGTGATACTATCGTAACAGAAAGGAACAGCCTGCAATTCAGAAACAGTAATATAATGCTAGCATTGGCCTCACTCCTCCATATTTTATGAGCAGAATCATGAAGGTCAAGTTCTCAGGGGCGGGATATTTCATAAGTAGAGTGTTGCAGGTCCTTCATCCATTATCACAATTCCAAAATTCAAAAAGCTAGAGTCTAAGAAACATTTCTTAACCCATCTGGCGGCAAACTTCATCTTTTTGCATGAGGCAATGATGGACCTTTCTATTTGCGCCCACTTGCTGCGCATATCCATGTTTTGGGCTGGAGGTGTTGATGTGTTTAATTCCAGGTGCTGCCCTAGGCCCTGCCCAGGGTGTCGTACAAGCCCTGAATTACCTGCCTAAATCCTGCCAAGTTCTGAATTCGTAAACATTGAGACCCTAAAGTTCTAGATATACATACGTGGCTCTCTGTTCCTTTGTTCGATCATACAGTGGACCTAGAAAACTGAGACAGATTAATGAGGGAAGTTATAGATTTTCATTCTTTGCTGATCTTTAAGAAATCATGCAGGAAACAATCTTTAATTTCCCTTTCCTTTCTTCCTCCTCCTTTTTTTGGTAAACCAAGGTGAAGCTGAGGTTACAACAAAGAAAAGAGAGCACCTGCCTATCTCCGCCCAATCACATGCTTTTTTCCCCAGGTGTGTAGGAAAGAAATGTTGCAGGGGTCTTCCACCATTGGGTTGGGTCCCATCTGTCTGAGAAACTTTTCCTGCCATAGTGTGTGACCATTCACAGACAAAGGGAATCACTTGGAGGCCCCAGGAGGTTTTTCCAGCATGGGATTCTGAATTCTGGGCATGAATCATAGATAAATCACATGAATTTACCAACTGTTTGTTGGGGGCAACATTGCAAACACATTGATGAAATATGTACCTTTCTATTTTTTTTTTTTTTTTTTTTTGAGACAGGGTCTCGCTTTGTTGCCCAGGCTAGAGCGCAGTTTTGAGATCATGGCTCACTGCAGCCTCCACCTCCCAGGCTCAAGTGAACCACCTGCCTTAGCCTCCAAGCAGCTGGGACTACAGGTGCTTATCACTGCACCTGGTTAATTTTTTAAATATTTTGTAGAGATGAGGTCTCACTATGTTGCCTAGGCTCATCTTGAACTCCTGGGCTCAAGCAATCCTCCTGCCTTGGCCTCCCAAAGTGCTGGGATTATAGGCGTGAGCCACAGTGTCTGGCAGTGCCTTTATTTCTGTTGCTAATTGTTAAGTTATATAAGTAAGGATTTCTTCCTTGATTACCGAGTCTCGTTTTCTGGGGTGAAATGAAGTTTTATGAATTTCTAATTTATGTTAGGTATAAACATGTAAAATTTAAGACAAATTTAAAAATTGTTTCATAAGTCTACAATTTCAGGCAAATAATTTTCTCAAAAAGCCCAAGAAGAAACGATTAACTTTCTATATTTCTCAGTATCACCCTTTAGTTTCAGAATTTCCACTCTGAAAAACTGACACAGTACCATAGCCATGAAACGTTTTGCTGTTCACAGGTATAACTGAAAATATGATATTTTAATATGTTAAATAAATGCCTAACAAAAGAAGTAAGCTGTCATAATACAAAATTTCCTCCTTACTTGGCTTCTAAGCAATTCGCATAGAATTTGAAGAATATCATCCTGCAAAAAAAAAACTACCCTATCCCTATCCAAATACTTTTTTATGCTTTGAAAATGTGAATTACACACTTGAAAGCTCCATCAAATAGACTTTAGTGCACAAAACAAAGCTTTCTGTAACAATTTATAACTTTTCCACTTGAACATTTTGCTTCAAATTTTCACAGATTCTGTTCCTTTCAAAAGCTCTTGCTGGTGTGAAAGATTCCATCTGCTCTTCAATTACTCATGGCCCTTAAAGTCATTTTTAAATCATGGGAAAACGCCACACACAATTCTTTCGTGTGTGTGTGTGTGTGTGTGTGTGTGTGTGTGTAAAACAGTATATAAATAGTATATGAGAATTATATTAATTTCAATTCTTCCCACAAAAACTCTTCTTTGGGCTGTTAGGTGTGTTTCAAGTTTAACAGATCAACTTTTTTTTTTCTAGGATGTTTCCAACAGGGAAATTTGAAAGTTTAGGTAGATATTAAAGTTACTGTTAAGTTACATAAGTTATGTTCCCAATGTTAACTATTTCAGACATAACTGAGTATTTTTTCAGGAATTATCTAAAAGCCTCAGCAAGTCTATTTCTCGTACCATATGATCATGCCAGCTGTTTATTTTCAAGTGGTCAATTTAAAAATCGTAGGGAAATATGCCCCAAATGATCTAATAACGATTTGAAACCGAGCTAGCTAGAGCTAGAGCTAAAGCTGTGGTAGTAAAACCACTTCTGTAAGTGCAGGGAAATGATATTGGTATACTAGGAATTGTGATTTACAGACTGCTGCTTTAGATTAATCAAGTCTCCATGTTGTAGCTGGCAAGAAAATGACTTTGTCATCTTTTTAAAGATCGCAATCGATATAAACGTTTATATTACTCAAAAAAAGTCTTTTAGAAGAAAATTAGTTCTTCGTGTTCTTTTCCTGTTGATCATCTAAAGCTCTTCCTCTAGCCTGTGACTTCCCAAAAGGCACCCTCTGGCCTGGCAAAAAAGACTTACAAACCTGGAATTTTCGGATACCAGTAAGTTGAGTTCAGTTTATATTAATTCACACATGGCTCTTTATAAAGGCAGAACAGATTTCAAAGAAAGAAAGAGAAAACCAAGAAGGCACTCTTTTTGGGCCATAAAAATTTCTTTCCACACTAGTGAGCACACCATCCCATGGTTTATAGAAGATAAAATACTAAAAGGTCTTTACATTTTTGCCTCTAACCGCTCCCCTGGGCACCTAATAACATGTGGTTTGTGGAAGTTAATGGGAATTTTTCAGCACAAATAAATACTCCAACTCCTCTTCTAAAATGGAGGTGAAAATCAATTTTCCTTGTTAATGAGGGACTGCTACTATTTGTTTCCATTGATTGGGTGATGCATTGTTCTGTTTCTAAAAGCAAGCTGTTTTTCATTTTTTGTTTTAAAGAAACAGAATTAGTAACTTGCAGACTGACACCACAGGTATACACTAAGATTTCTTAGCCGACACTCACTAAGCTCTGATAAGCTGATATTCTCTCACTTGGACTGGCATTTCATCTTGTAGAGATGTCATGTAAACTGGCCCCCAAGTATTCAATCAAAACCTGAGTTCTTTTCCTTTGGTGGCTATGTTTATTTGGAATGGTGAGCCTGTAGACACAGGGTCCCTTCCATCGCCTCTTAAGCATGTGATGGGTTCTGCTGAACAGAGCCAGGTAGGCAAAACGTGGACCAAGAATCTTTACACGGAATTTCCTTACTATCTGTCTTTTCCAGGTGCTGTTTGCTTTCTGGTCTTAATAAATCTCATGCTGGGAGAATCCTGTTTTAGTGATTAGCATCAGTATATCCAGTCCTCGGAAACAAAAATATTTCCAGGTCCCAGAAGAGGGTCCAGAGTAACACAGCTTTACTGATCTGGTTTCAATAAATCTTGTTAACAAAAAATTCTATAGAACAGATGTTTTTTACTTGTCTCTGTTAATGTATGGACGATTCTTTATTTCAAAGGTAGTGTGATTTTGGCATTTGTGATTTGCATTGTTTAGCGCAAAGCATTTTAAAAGTACTTCAATATTGCAAAATGCTAAACGTTATTTTTTATTTTATTTTTTGAGACAGGGTCTCGCTCTATTACTCAGGCTGGAGTGCAGTGGTGCAATCTCGGCTCACTGCAGCGGCAGCCTCTGCCTCCTGGGATCAAGCAATCCTCCCACCTCAGCCTCCCAAGTAGCTGGGACTACAGGCACACGCCACCATGCCCGACTAATTGTTTTTGTATTTTTAGTGGAGACGGGGTTTTGTCACGTTGCCCTGGCTGGTCTCGAACTCCTGGCCTCAAGCAATCCATCCGCCTCGGCCTCCCAAAGTGCTGGGATTAAAGACGTGAGCCACCATGCTTTGCTTAAAGTTATTATTTTAAGAAAATTTGCGGCACATTTTTAGAAAGATCAGAAGGGCTGGCAGAGGTGAAGTGATTCTCAAAATCAGGGTAAGGAGATTGGCTGATAAGGTTTTCAGTTAAGGTCCCTTATAGACAAAAACCAAAAAATCAAGTTTTTGTATGTGATATCTCCCTCAGTACAGTGTTGCAATGAGACTTCTGTTAAATTAAATTAGAATATAACTAGAAAATTGGACGTCCTATCAGTCGATTAAATGAGGTATTCTCTGCACTGAACTTTTTAAGGAAGAGAACATTAGTTTTTCTATCATAACCCAAGAGTTTTTAAAAAAGCTTTGAAACAGAAAACATCAGTGCTCCATTCTCAAAACCCTGCACTGTTTACGATGAATAAAGTATGTAAGAATCATAGATAATGTCTGTTAGTTAGTTGGCCAATGGTCAACAGCGATTATCGAAAGACAATTTTTTGTTTTTAAACTGCATCGGTTCTTGTCTTCCAAATATTTGGCCCACAGCTGCCTTTGTTAACAGCTTGGAGGCTACTGAATTGTTTTTAAAGAGAAATGCCAACTCTACTGACTTCCTGATTGTCGACAGACATGAGGTTTTTTGTTTTACATGTATATACATCAGGAAATGAAATGAGATTACTACATGCTGTGCTAAGGAAAACAATAAAAGTGAAAAAATGTTATTTTTAGATAAGACTATTTCCTAAACCTTTAGAAGTATCGTACAAATTTGTCCTCCATTTGGTAGAATATGAACATGTGTGGTCTGTATCTCTTCTATGGCAGGCGATACTAATCATCTATCTAGATAACAGTCATTTTCTCTCAGCACGCTAAACCTGACATTTCAGTGTAAAGTCCAATAAGACAAGGAAGTGAGCTATTTTGTTAGTGGGAAAGAAAAGACAGTTATGTAAGAATAAGCCTTCAGGCATCTGCTGAGCAAAACAGAGAGCCCAAAAGAAGAAACGGAAGAGCAAGTGAGTTTCATGAGAAAGAGTAGCTACGGTTCACAGTTGTCTTTATATAGTTCTCTTTCCATTAAGGTGTATCAGCACTTTTGACTTCGTCTTTTTTTTATTTGAGAGGGAGTTTTGCTCTTGTCACCCAGGCTGGAGTGTAATGGCACGATCTCAGCTCACTGCAACCTCCGCCTACCAGGTTCAAGCAATTCTCCTGCCTCAGCCTCCCGAGTATCTGGGATTACAGGCGCACACCACCACACCTGGCTAATTTTTGTATTTTTAGTAGAGACAGGGTTTCACCATGTTGGCCAGGCTGGTCTTGAACTCTCGACCTTAGGTGATTCACCTGCCTTGGCCTCCCAAAGTGCTGGGATTACAGGCATGAGCCACCACACCCAGCCCTTGACTTCTCTTTTGTAAAAGCAATCCCCTTTTCTCTTGTACCTCAAGGAAACTGCTCCCATAATTTATGAATTAATACTCATTCCACATAAATGTAATTTGGATATAGTCCCTGAAATGTAAATATCTAGGATAATAGTATCCTGAAGAAAATAGCCTTTTGGGAAGTTTTAGATTCAGGACCTTTCAGGCTATGAAAGAGTTACTTTATCTTTTGTGTGTGGCCATTCATTTAAAAGGTTATTGGATCCTCTGGATTTTAGAAGATCTTTGAGTTCAGCCCTAGACCCTGTGTTATATCTAGAAAAGCCTTTTCTAGGGTTCTGTGTGTTCTAAGCTGGTATTTTATTAATGTGGTTCAGGAAAACATATCTACAGTATGGAAGTCAAAGCCATTCCTTTAAATAAAACTGAGGTTATATAGTCATGCATTTAATAATAGTGATAGATGCAGGAGGCATGCAGATGCAGATAAGGAAACCTGCACAGGGTCTTGCCCGGGCGTGCCTGCAAGGGACTGGGGCCCACATGTGCACTAGGAGAAGGGGGTGGAGCCACCAAGAATTCATGCCTTATGCAGGGGAGGAGACTGATATTCAATCTGTGAGGTGGGAGCCTGTTGGCAGGACCCTCTCTTTTTTTGCTGAGAGCCTTCTTTTCGCTTAATAATCCACTCTCCTCTCCCTTCAGTGTGTCCATGTGCCTATTTTTTCCTGGTCGTGAGACAAGAAGCTGGATTTTAGTTGAACTAAGGAGCAAAAAATCCTGCATCAATAGCAAAAACAACTTTCTATAATAAATCATAAATAAATTTATTTATATAAATTACATAAGTTATGAGAATGGGACATCTAAAATACCTAATGTTTAGCCACTGAACCGAATGTGGTCAATTTCGACGTGTTGGGTATCTTCCCAGAAGCAGATGGGAAGGAATTTGGAATTACTTCTATTACTCCACAATTTTAGGCCACTCAAGTGTACTAGTTTCTCTGGACCTCTGAAGATGGCTTTACTAGCATGGGCCTGCTACAGAAAAAGGGTGTTTATCAGAGACTCCCATGTAACAAATCACCCCCACCGTCCATGGTGTAGGTTTTAGGCTGTGAGATAAACTGACCTTTTGGATAAGGTGTCTGACCTCTCCCCTCTCCTGACAGTGATTTCTCTTCCCAGACAGCTGCGCTTACAAACAAACTGCTAGGTAGCAGTAGCACTTTGACAAATGGAGCACAACCCGGATCCTTTGTTTCTTTGAATTCAGCCAACAAGCTGGCATTCCAGAAGCTCATTAGGGGGCCATGAATTACTGTGGAGGCCAAGCCTGCACTTCCTTCTCCCTGGCAATCCATGTGGCCACACGTTCCCATGATCCGTGGGGCCAGATCATGCTATTCCCAGTTCACATTCCATCCCGTCAGGGTACTCTCAAAATAAATAATATTTACAGCAGAGTTCAGAGCTGGCGAAAGAAATGTGGAGGGAAAAATGTGAGTAAGTAGACTAGACACTGGAATCCATTGGATTTGTGGTTTTTAAATCATTTTTTCATGGGACTTCAGAAATCTTTGTAAGTAGATATGGACTGGCACTTATCAAAACCCCAAATTCCAAGGCCAAATTAATGTCATAAAAAAGTGACAAATAAAAATTGTAACAAGATTTAGTTTCTGTAACCTGAAAACATTATGTTTAGCAAATTCGGTAAATGGTTACTGGCCACCTACAAAGTTCAAGGTCTCCAGCCAAAGCTACTTACAGTCATTATCTATTTAAAAATTTGACTACCACTGCTTTATACCAAAAACTTGGAGAACTTAAATAAAAGGGGCCTGGAGGTCTCTTTATGCAAATATTCAAACAGAGCTGAAGAGATGGCATTTGAGATCAGAGTCAGCAACTACAACCCCCTAGACAAATCCAGTCCTCTGCTTGTTTATGTATTACCCATGAACTAAGGATGGCTTTTACACTTTTAACTGATTGGAAAAAGAAACCAAAAGAAGAAGAATATTTTGTGATACATGAACATTTATATGAAATTCATATTTCTGTATCCATAAATAAAGTTTTATTGGAACACAATCAGGCTCATCCATTTACTTATCCTATGGGGCTGCTTTTGCACTTAGGAAGAGTTGTGTAATTGAAACAGAGATCGTACTGCGTGCAAAACTCAAGATACTGACAATCTGGCCCTCAACAAAAAAAGCTCGCCGATCCTTGTTTTAGACTGTAAAATAATTTTTTGCTTTTGCTGAGATGTCTGACTGAGAACAGTCAACATAGTGAGAGCTCATCTCTACAAAAAATAAAATAAAATAATTAGCCCGGTGCAGTGACTCATGCCTGTAGTCCCAGCAACTTGGGAGGCTGAGGCAGGAGGATCACTTGAGCCCAGGAGCTGGAGGTTACAGTGAGACATGACTGCACCACTGCACTCCAGCCTGGGTAACAGAAGGAGACCTTGTCTCTGAAAAAAATTAAAAAATAATAATAATAAAAAAGCAAGCATGAGAAGTGTACATGGAGAGCAAGGAGAAAGCAGTTGAGACCTGAAAAACCAGTGACAAAGACAGCCAACTACAGGTGGCCACCAACAGAAGTAGTTTTTGCTGCATTTACAGATAAAATCCCTCAAAGCATGGGGAAACAGACAGGTTCTTAGATGGAGCAGAGGTACGATCTGTGTTTCTTTTTAATACCAATTTGCTAATTTCCTGTTAATGGGCCAGAACCTTACGCCTTGATGCTTTCCTTTCCTGTTCATGTGGTTCACTCTTTTTGCCTCTAAACCTTGATTCTCCAGAATGGGCTACCCTGGCCTTTTTTTTTTTTTTCAGAGGAGCTTGATCAAACAGAATCCCAGGAATAACGACTATCTTTGAGCAGATAGTCCTGCTAGTGGTTGGCTACACCCTCTGCTCTGTGCAGGGTCTGGTGATGATCACAAGAGATTTCAGGGCGATTTCAGGGCAATTTCAGCCATACTGATCAACATATGGTGATGAATGAAATAAATGACAAGTTTGCAGTTTTACAGGGTTATTAACAACATTCACAGATTCCCAGTAGTTGTCTGTTTATGTTTTCTCCAACACAATATCCTAAGACAGAAGGAAAGCAGAGGTGGGGTATTTTTATGTTGTAACATTTTCACGAATGAAATTTCCCTGTAAGAAAGTATTTTGTCCCTTGAGGGGCAGGGACTACATTGAGAGAAAAAAAGATGTCCACCTACTTGTCAGGACTGACAGGTTATCTGCAATCATATTTACACCACAGTGGTGATTCCAGCCTCTACGAGACATTTGAGCAGCCTGTCCAACCTCAGGACAATGGGCATGTGTGACGCTGGGCCTAATGTCAGCTTTCCAGTAATCTCCGGGCTTTGCATGTAGTGGAGAATATCTCCCTTGCTATTACTATATTTTCTCCACCTGATCTATCTGTTTCAGTGGACAAGTTGAGAGTTAGATCTCATCATTAACATATAACATGAATAAATTGTCCACCTAAAAAGGACATCCTGATTAGTTTCTTTTAATAGAGAAGCAAGGGCTTACATTTTAAACAACACAACAACAAAATTGTAAACTTACCTAGAAAAATCTCCCTTTGCCTCCTGTAGAAGAAAAAATTCAACATCAGCGAAATACACTAAGCCAATGTTAGAGACTCTAAAGTACATTCTATAATCATGAGAGTTTCTCTACTGAATGAGATGAGTTCAGCTTCCTGCAGTTATCATCCTATTTGCTGCAGGAATACAATTAAAACTGAATGCACACCTTTGCCATTTGAATATGAAATATGAAACTAAACTCTAGAAACTTATATACAAAGTAAGTGATTCATAATGACAAAATGCACATCTCCACCTCTAAGCCTGGGTCTGACATGTTCTAGATTAAAGATTCTAAATATGAACATGTATCTGGATAGAACTGTCGATTTCTAGGGTCAGTTTTTGTTTTGGTTTGTATTTTATGCTAGTTCCCAATTATACTGAAGACTCTGGAGGTAGGGACCAGAGAAACTTTAGTGAATCCAGTATAATGCCCTGAACATAGTAGTTGCTCAGTAAATACTTATTGAAGGAATAAAGAAATGATATCATTTTAACTCATCTTGCCACTATTAAGCTAATATTCTATAACATCTTTTTTTACGTTTTATTTTTGCATAACCTAAAGGGCTTTACCTTGTCTTTCTAGGGGGCAGAACATGATTTTTTGGCCACTAACTCTAGCTATTCACTTGGCTTTCTCCAGGGTGGAGGTACCAAACCCAAAGAAAATGGGGTCAGTAAATGATCTCAGTTTCTCCCAGGCTCAGGTTAAACACACAACTTCGCTTTACAGGGATTTTCTGTCTTAACATTTTGAAATACTACAAGCCCCTGTTTATTGCTATGGTTTCCGTCAGTGTCTCTAATAGCTCTATGCAGCTTGTGGCTAAAAAAAGGTAAGACGACAAATAGTGAGTAGATACAGCTACTGGCTATGCCTGGTAAGTCTTACTTCCTTTCTTCTGTGTATGGCCGTGGGACATAAAGAGGAGGAGAAAAACAACTTACCTGTAAAATATAGGAAGCTAATTCAAACACCACTTCGCTGTCAACGTCAATAAGCTCCTGAAAGGAAAAAGCAACAAACGAAGACAAGTTTGGTATTTAACCACCATTTTTTTCTTTTATTTTAAATGACAGCTCTTCTTCGGGAGGATTACTTGAGCCCTGGAGTTTGAGACCAGCCTGGGCAACATAATGAGATGCTGCCTCTACAGAAAATTTAAAAATTAGCTGGGCAGGGTGGTGCACGTCTGTAGACGCAGCTGTTTTGGAGGCTGAGGTGGGAGGTTGAGGTTGTAGCGAGCTGTGATAGTACCACCGCACTCCAGCCTGGGTAATGGGGTGAGTGAGACCCTGGCTCAAAACAAACAAACAAACAAACAAAAAGCCTTATTTTCTGAGGAATTGCTCAGAATCCCCAATATTCATAGAACATCTTGAGTCTCTGAGACCACACCCTGAATTATTCAGTCCTAAACACTCCCAACATCGTTTTTACTGCTCTTAGCTGGGATGGACTAGGGGACCTGGGCCTACCCGACTATCTCAAGGGCCTCACCTTTAAATCTTTAGAGAAATTAAGAGGCAGACTAGGCCCCAGCATTTTACAAACCTGTTTGTTAATGTTATTAATCACTGGAATAGGGATGCTTGACAACAAAATGCATTTTCTTTAAAAACTAAACTTCAGAACTTTCTTTCTATAAAGAAAGGCTTTCTTGAAAGGCTGTTTTTTGAAAGGAATGTTACAGTGGGATTGTAACTCCTTAAAATTAAATAAAATGTAAAAATATAGTTCCTCGGTTGTACTAGCCACATTTCTTTCATGTGCTCAATAGTTCAGTGTCGCTAGTGACTACCGTATCGTCAGCTCAGATACAGAACGTTTCTACCACTGTAGAAAGTTCTATTGGTCAGCAACTGTTACACAGTGTAAGTTTAACAATGTTTCTGCCTATTAGTTCTTCCCCCAAATACTTAATTGTGATCTAGGGACGTGGTCTTCAAAGCACTTAAACCTCTCCTTGGTTTTTGAAAAAATTCCTTTTCTCTCTCTCTCTTTATATTTATATTTTTGAAATACATATTTCAAAATGTATATAGTTCATATCTTTTAACAGCTTTTTTCTTTCTCTGAGACAGAGTCTTGCTGTGTCACCCAAGCTGGAGTGCAGTGGTGCGATCTTGGCTCACTGCAACCTCCTCCTCCCAGGTACAAGTGATTTTCCTGTCTCAGCCTCCCGAGTAGCTGGGACTACAGGCATACACCACCACACCGGATAATTTTTTTGTATTTAGTACAGACGGGGTACCAGGTTGGCCAGGCTGGTCTGGAACTCCTAGCCTCAGGTGACCTGCCTGCCTTGGCCTCCCAAAGTGTTGGGATGATTACAGGCATGAGCCACTGCACCCGGCCAAAACAGCTTTATTGAAGTATAACTAAAACACCTCAAAAACTGCATATGTTTAATGTAAACAATTTGATGAGTTTGGACAGATGCATACACCCATGATACCATTACCACAACCAAGGTAATAAACATATCGATCACATCCAAAGATTTCCGTGTGTGTGTGTGTGTGTGTGTGTGTGTGTGTGTGTATGGTAAAAACACCTAGCTGGGCATGATGGCTCACACACTTTGGGAGGCAGAGGCGGATGGATCACTTGAGCCCAGGAGTTCAAGACCAGCCTGGTCAACGTGGCGAAACCCCATCTCTATTAAAAATACAAAAATTAGCCTGGAGTGGTGGTGTATGCCTGTAGTCCCAGCTACTTGGGAGGCTGAGGTGGGAGGGTCCCCTGAGCCTGCGGAGGTTGAGGCTACAGTGAGCTGTAATCATGCCACTACACTCCAGCCTGGTGACAGAGAGACCCTGCCTCAAATAAACAAACAAACAAACAAACAAACAAAACCTAACAACAACAAACTCACTAACCATGAGGACATGACCTACCTTCTTAATAAACTTCTAAGTCTTCTAAGTGCACAACACTCTCTCATTATACATAGCTCACATGTTAAAGACAAAGAGAAGCCTGGAGTCCATCAGCATGCCAGAATAATACACAATTTAATTGATATCCTATGTCTGGTGTCAAGCTTAAGCACAAATATCCATTTTATTTTTCTTTCCCTAGTATCACAAGATCCCATAGTGGCTGACTGGATGACAGAGAGCTAGAGGTAAAAGAGATTTAGAGACCAGCCAGCCTGACCCTGTGCTTTTACTGAGAATGGAACCCAAAAACATCAAGGGACTTTGCAAAACCACAGGGCCTTAATGGCACTTAAGGGGCCGGGAACAGACCCCCTACTACTTGTCCAGTGTGTGACCTCCCTTAGGACTTACATTTCCACCCAAATCAATAGAGAATCAGTTTCAGCCAATGTATTCTAAGAACAATATCTATAATCCAATTTGCTTAGCAAGAGTTTCTATTCACTTGCATTACAAGCCAGACTCTGATTCAAGGATTGATTTTTTTTTTTTGTTTTTTTTTTTTTTTTTGAGACGGAGTCTCACTGTTGTCGTCCAGGCTGGAGTGCAATGGTGCGATCTCGGCTCACTGCAACTTCTGTCTCCCGGGTTCCAGCAATTCTCCTGCCTCAGCCTCCCAAGTAGCTGAGATTACAGGCGCCCACCACCACGCCTGGCTAATTTTTTTGCATTTTTAGTAGAGATGGGATTTCACCATGTTGGCCAGGCTGGTCTCGAACTTCTGACCTCAGGTGATCCACCCACCTCGGCCTCCCAAAGTACTGGAATTACAGGCATGAGCCACCATGCCCGGCCGATTCATGGATTTTGTAATTATTTTTTGAGAGGTCCAGAATTGGCTCCTGCAATTTAAAACAATGCATTCAAGCACACCTGGATCTTTTGAAGGAGAGATATCTTTCAGGCTCCTTTGGGCCTGGGAATTTCACAGTTGGATACTAATATTTGCCCTGGAACCACCTTAGAAGTACGGGTTAAAAGAACTCATGAGAGCCTACGGAAGAATTGGGGACAATAATTCCTTACGTTTAACCAGCTGAAAGAGCTTTACGGCGGTTGGAATTGATAGAGGCTGTCGGTGCTGGGATGCGGAAGAATGTTTGGAATTGCAGTTCCGGGATTAGCAGGTCCCATCAGAATGTAAATCATTTAACAGTGTACAGATGGCTTCACAGAAACACTGTCCAGGATTTCCACAATAGATGGTTTCTACTCTCACTCTGTGCGTTTCCATTCCCACCTGAATGCCTTGGGGTGCACTTGTTAGCGTGCTGTTGTATGTGTGCTTTTCTGTCAAACATTTACACCTTATGTTACAGCCAATGGTCGACTGCGGGCTAATATTTAACATCTGCTGAGAGGCTTATCTGATGCGCAACTCAAAACCAACCATCAGAAAATAACACTTTTAAGTGTGAACATAGCTTTTAGTTTGCTATTTGATTCATCCGCTAAACGAAGATGTCTCTACCTGCGCGGAGGCGGGTAACACGAAGGAAGGTCTTTTATTCTATTTTACACAGCCCATTATGTGGTCCCAGGAGAGTATCATTGGTGAACATTAACTGTAACATAACTGATATCCACAGGAAAGCTACCAAAAATATCCACAGGAAAGCACCATCAAATATCTAACCTGATTGATTCAACTTCTCTCTCACCATAGTTGTTCTCGGGTTAAGTGAGAACTGGCACCTTTAACTGTGGTGACTTTTCGGGTGAAAAGCCTGACCTTGACTATCTATCTCCCAGTGAAGATATCAAAAACAGGAGGAGGTGAAATGTGGCCAGTGGGAGGGAAAATGATTAAAGATTCAAGCGCCCCAGGCATTGCACATGCTTACAAAATCTGATGGAAAGAGCTGCATTATTATTTCTGACCTCGCCTATTTAACATGCATTGAATTTAAGGATCATTTCATTGGATGTTCTCATAGGACTCAACACAAAGACCAAAACGGTGTGGATAAGAACCAATCTAGGGTGGTGGGAAGACATCCTGAGAGTCTTTGCCCAATTCCCCAATGTCACTTGTTCATGATACTGTTTCCCCCTTATACACCTCATCCTTCCAGGTGGCTTTATCCTTAAGATTCTACCACGATGGAGCAGAGCTCTAGACTTCCGGCTTACTCTGAAAATTTCCCATGGTACTTCAAAACCTGAAAGCTGGCCGGGCACAGTGGTTTAAGCTTGTAATCCCAGCACTTTGGGAGACCGAGGAGGGCAGATCATGAGGTCAAGAGATTGATACCATCCTGGACAACATGGTGAAACCCCGTCTCTACTAAAAACACAAAAATTAGTTGGGCGTGGTGGTGCACGCCTGTAGTCCCAGCTACTCAGGAGGCTGAGGCAGGAGAATCGCTTGAACCCTGGAGATGGAGGTTGCAGTGAGCCGAGATAGCGCCACTGCACTCCAGCCTGGTGACAGAGTGAGACTCCATCTCAAAAGACAAAACGAAACGAAACAAAACACCCCTGAAAGCCAAGTTCCACACAGGGGAGTTATTAGATGTTTTCAGGGGTCTTCCTAGCAGAAATGTGCTCCCATATGACATTAAGAAAATGACTCTCCCTTTTCCTTATCTGACTTCTCCAGTGGTCCAGAGGTGGCTTTTCATTTATTTTTTTTGAGACAGGATCTCACTGTGTCACCCAGGCTGGAATGCAGTGGTGCAACCTGGGCTCACAGCAACCTCCGCCTTCTGGGTTCCAGCAATTCTTGTGCCACAACCTCCCAAATAGCTAGGATTACAGGTGTGCGTCACCATGCCTGGCCAATTTTTTTATTTTTAGTGGAAGCAGGGTTTCACCATGTTGGCCAGGCTGGTCTCAAACTACTGACCTCAAGTGATCCACCCACCTCGGCTTCCCAAAGTGCTGGGATTACAGGCATGAGCCTCCGTGCCCGGCCAGAGGTGGCATCTTTCATGGGTTTCTGCTCAAGCAGAGGAACTACACTGAAGGAGACCACACAGAGTGTGCAAAAATCCCATTTTTTTCCTGGGATTCTGGGCTTTCCCCATAACTGTAACTAAGGACAAAATGGGATCATAGGAGGAGGAGCAGAAGACACTTCCCGGAGGCTTGAGGGTGGCTTCCATCTGCCTTATGCAGGGGCTGAGGTGTAACATTCCTCTGCGCTTATGCAATCCACAGCTCTGCGGTGAAGCCCCCCGTGCTCTTGCGGCCATTGGAGGGAGGGGTTTCTGCAGTGTCTGAGCTGGAATCTAGCCTGGGAATCTTGGGCTGTCTGGTGGGCATGGAATAATTACTTTGAGACTCTAGAGAAGCCCAGGGCGATGCTGGCAGGAGGAAGTGTAAGGTCCTTTGGTGACTGTGGCCACTGGGTGTGTACTTTAGGCATCTGCTTTCCTTACTACTGAATAATGCATGCTGCTTCCTTTGATCTTTGAGAAATGGTATGGAAAGACGAACCGTGACCGTCTGCAGGTATGTGTGTGTGTGTGTGTGTGTGCGAACGTGCTCTGAGTAGGGGTGGGAAGGGCTGCCCCACTTCCTCCCACGCCGTGTTGTTTTATCCCAGGTGACTGAACTGCCGAAGGAAGAGGCCTGAGGTCATTTATCAGCAACACCATGCCTAACAATATTCTCAGAAAGATTTCCATCTGAGGGTCTCCAAGTGTTTCTAACAAGTGGGCCCGTGGGAACCCCAAATGGCAGGTGTTACGGATGTTCTCCAAGAGTCCTGAGAGCCGGAGGGCCTCTTTGCTCAGAGGGACTTGGTGGTGGTCTTTACATTTAACCAAGAATCTTAATGACAAGCAGCCCACCATGGTCCGGAACTGCAGGAATTCCAACTCTCATGTAAGACAAATGAGATAATTCCGTGAGAAAATGTAATTGACAACCATATAGTAGGTCGAGAAGATTTTGACAAGGACAGTCTTTGCAAAGTCCACTCGGAACCACTTGTAGGGTTAGGAAAGCCACCAAGCGTTTTCCTAACGAATTCTCACCAGTTATCACCACGTTTATTCTTACCCACAAAACATCTAAAGATAATAGTGGCATGCCATTCTCCTTAAGATTATTTCTACTGTCCCCTGAAAGTCCCATATTCTGGTCTTAACCCCCCAATGCCTTGAGGACATGGACTGAACCACCTGACCTTGAGTTTGATTTTCCTTATCAGTAAAATGGGGATAACAATTTCCTTTCCAATTATTTTACTGGGTTTGGTGAGGCATAAATGAAGTGACTTGGAAATATAAAACACACTACAAGTATTAGATCTATATTATTTATTTCTGCTGATGAGTATCTATAGATAATCTGAACTCCACAGTTTTGCCTTTGTTCTTTAGTATGTCTTAGCATTTATAGGAAACTTTACTAGATTTTTTTTTTTTTTTTTTTTTTGAGACGGGAGTCTTGCCTTGTCGCCCAGGCTGGAGTGTAGTGGCGCGATTTCGGCTCACTGCAAGCTCTGCCTCCTGGGTTCAGGCCATTCTCCTGCCTCAGCCTCCCAAGTAGCTGGGACGACAGGCACCCACCACCACGCCTGGCTAATTTTTTGCATTTTTTAGTAGAGATGGAAGATTTTGTTTTAAAAGAGATGGGTTGTGTGTGTGTGTGTGTGTGTGTGTGTGTGCGTATGTGTGTGTACTGGTCACCGTGTCTGTGGTGTATTTTATGTGTCAACTTGACAGGCCAAGGGTTACCCAGATTATTTATTTTTGAGACAGGGTCTTGCTCTGTCACCCAGGCTGGAGTGCAGTGACACCATCTCGGCTGACTGCAACCTCTGCCTCCTGGGTTCGAGCGATTCTTGTGCCTCAGTTTCCTGAGTAGCTGGGATTACAGGTGCCCATCACCACAACCAGCTAGCTTTTTGTATTTTTAATAGAGACGAGGTTTCACCATGTTGCCCCGGGTGGTCTAGAACTCCTGGGCTCAAGTGATCCACCCACCTCGGCCTCCCAAAGTGCTGGGATTACAGGCATGAGCCACTGTGTCCGGCCCCGAGTTGCCCAGATTAAACAGTTTCTGGATGTGTCTACGAGGGTGTTTCTGGATGAGATCAGCATTTGAATCAGTGGACTCAATAGACCACCCTCCCCAGTGTGGGTGGACATCACACAATCCTGGAAGGCTTGAATAGAACAAAAGATGGAGGGTGGAGGAGCTTGCCCCTTTTTTCATTTTTCTTTCTTTCTTTTTGTCCCTTGCTTTTTGAGCTGGGACATCACATTTCATCTTCTCTTGTCCTTGGACTGGGACTTATACCACTGGCTCCCTGGTTCTCAGGTCTTTGGACTCAGCCAGTGGACTGACACCACTGGCTTTCCTGGGTCTCCAGCTTGCAGACAGCAGACTGTGGGATCTCTCAGCCCCCATGATCTTGTGAGCCAACTCCTCATAAGAAGTCTCTTTCTGTATATCTATATATATCCTATCGGTTCTGTCCCTCTGACTAATACACCGTATATCATTAAAGTGGGACACAATGCCCATATTTAGCCCAACTTGCTCTCTTCTTGTGGCTCTATGCCTCATTGCACAACTCATCATAATTACGCAAATTTGCCCCCGGGGCAAACAGGGGCTGTGGTGCAGGATGAGACTGATGCGATCTCGCACAATTCCTCATTCTTAGTCCTCTGCCAGTTTTTCAGCATCAAGTCACTTCATGTTTGTCTAATGATCCACGAGGTGAATGCCACTCATGCTCAGCCGCAACCCTAACTCTGCCGCGTTGGGATTTCTCATGCTGTCCACCCCACCGCAGACAGCCCATGTCAGGATCTCAAGGAATCGTTCTTTTATTAACTTATATTTTAAATAATTTTTACTTTTATTTATTTATTTTTGTTGAGACAGGGTCTTGCTCTGTTGCCCAGGATGGAGTGCAGTGGCACCATCATAGTTCACTGCAGCCTTGAACTCCTGAGCTCAAGTGATCCTCCTGCCTCAGCCTCCTGGGTAGCTGGGACCACAGGCACACACCACCGTGCTTAGCTAATTTTAGTTTTTTTGTAGAGATGGGGGTCTCACTATGTTTCTCAGGTTGGTCTTGAACTCCTGGGCTCAAGTAATCCTCCTGCCTTGGCCTCCCAAAGTGTTGGGATTACAGCTGTGAGCTACTGATTCCTGGCCTGGAATCATTCTTTTAGAGATCATGGGCACAGCCAAGACGACAGATCCATGTAAGCTTGTTTCTTGAAAGTTGAAAAAGAAGGTACCTGTCTGTCCTTCTCTCATACCCCCTCTGTCCTACAAGGGCATGCTCTAAACCTGCAGATATTTATGTTGTCCTCTAGAATGTGATTCTGGGCTTTGGCTTGGTTCTCCCACCTACAGATGAGATGACGTCATCTGATCATTAGCAAAGCATGTTGAAGGTATTGAATAAAGACCATTTATTTCAATATCAACAAGAGTGATAGCATTTAGACCTAAACTGCAAATGTGGCCCAAGGATGATTACTTAAACTCCATTTTTTTTTAAGAGATGAGTTCTCTGTCATCCAGGCTGGAATGCCCCAGTGTCATCCTAGCTCACTTCAGCCTCGAACTTGTGGGCTCAAGTGATCCTCCCATCTCAGCTTCCCAAGTAGTTGGGACTACAAATGTGTGCCACCATGCCTGGCTAATTAAATATATTTTTTTGTAGGGTTGGGGTCTTGCTATGTTGCCCAGGCTGATCTCAAACTCCTGGCCTCAAGCCAACTGCCTTGGCCTCCCAAAGTGCTGGGATTATAGGTATGAGCCACCACGCCTGGCCAGCAGAGGCTCCCAGACCAATTTGGACAAGATCTGCACCCTCCCAAGAACACCCATAAAGCAGAAATTTTAAGCCTTTTCCTTTATGTCATGATTTGTTCTCAGTGCAGTGTAGGCAACAAAACTCGGTGATTTCTCAGGAAATATGCAAATCCTTGCTCCCTTGGAAAGTAACCAATTAAAAAATAATTTTCTGAGCATCGGCTATGTGCCTAGTACAGTGATAGGCCATGGAAGATGAGCTTAAAAATCCACTCAGAAAAATGCTGGTACCAACTTCTCCTCCAGCCTAAAGAAGCATATTTCAGCCCATCTCCAGATGGCAAGCACAGTCCTGTTTCTTTGGTTATCACTGCTGGGGAAGGTTAGTGCTTTTAGACGAAGCATAATTGAAATGTGATGAATGTCCCTAAAGAGTGCATTGCCAGCTGGGTGCGGTGGCTCACGCCTGTAATCTCAGCACTTTAGGAGGCCAAGGAAGGAGGATCACTGGAGCCCTGGAGTTCAAGACCAGCCTGGGCAACATGGTGAAACCCTGTTTCACTTTGAAACAAAACCAAACAAAACAAAACAAAACACACAAAAAAAACAAATTAGCTGGGTGTGGTGTCGCATGCCCATAGTAGTCCCAGCTACTTGGGAGGCTGAGGCAAGAGAATTGCATGAACCCAGGAGGCAGAGGTTGCAGTGAGCTGAGATCACGTCACCGCACTCCAGCCTGGGTGACTGAGCAAGACTCCGCCTCAAAAAAATATATATATTATATAATATATAATAAAGATATATAATATATAATATATTATATTATATATAATTATTATATAATAATAAATATTTATTTATTATTATTATATAATAAATAAATAAAGAGTTCATAGCTAATCCCTTTGGGCAAGGGCAAACTTATACAGGTGAAATATTAGATTCCTGATGTAATCTTAGAGACCAGAATAGATGCCCCTTTATCAACTACACCAGACTCTAAGGTTAAGTTACCTACAGGTCGAGGGTTCAGGGCCAGCTGGCCTAGCAAATTTCTCAATTTCTGTGGCTAAACTCTCTACCAATAGGAGCTGTCAATGCTGGTTTACAACCCAGACCATTACAACTCTGACTGGACAGAGGGCCAGCCTTACAAACATTCTCTTCTGAGGAGCTACTGTAGACTTTAGGCCAGTTTCAGCAGTTCGCAGAGGCTGCACACAAACCATCTTTGTGTCCTATAGTTCACCTGGTGAGGTAAAGCGCCTCAAATTCCACCTCATTTTAATGCTAAAAGCCATCCCAGGAAGGAATGGGAGGTCATGATGTAAAGTGAAATAGGCCAGGCACAGAAAGACAAAGTTCATATTTTCTCACTTATTTGTGGGAGCTAAAAATGAAAACCATTGAACTCATGGAGACAGAATAGAAGGATGGTTACCAGAGGTTGGAAAGGGTAGTGAGGGTGGGAGAGGTGGGGATCGTTAATGGGTACACAAAAATAGAAAGAATGAATAAGACCTAGTATTTGATAGCACAACAGGGTAACTGTGGTCAATAATGATTGAATTGTACATTTTAATGTAAGTAAAAGAGTAGAAGTGGATTGTTTGTAACACAAAGGATAAATGCTTGAGGGGGTGGATACCCCATTTGCCCTGATGTGGTTATTACACATTACATGCCTGTATCAAAATATCTTATGTACCCCATAAATATAGACACCTACTATGTACCCACAACAATTAAAAATTTAAAAAACCAAAGTAAACATGGTAAGTATGTCACCAATATGTCTACCTATGGCACACACACTCGACACTCCTTCGTAACTATGCATAACTTTTCCCCAAACCTGCTGAATGTGTATGACTCTATTATGTAATAAGAACACCGTGAGTCATAAAACCCGACCTGCCCTTCTCCTTTTCAAAAAGAGCACCTTCAGTCCACGCTGGAGACTTTCTCTTCTCAGCTTGCAAACCGGTACTGCCAATACAGCCCTTTCTCCTAGTTAGCCACCTCGGTGGCCTTTTGGATGATACTGATGGTGCATCTAGGCATTCTGACAGCCACTCACGCCACCTAACCTCAATCAAGGAACTATCAAAGTACTTCTCTGAGGAACTGAATGGAAAGGTCTTTCGACATGAGCACCAATTTTCTTTTCTCTCTGAAGGTTTGCATGTAAAGAAGATTGGGAGCTGGTGATTTCTTGATTTCTCTTATAGCTGTAAGATGTATAATTTGTGGAAATCTTTCTGATAAAAAAACTAAACAGACTCTGTCATTTTACGACCTATGTTTGCAAAGCTTTCAGACATCACTGTGATGACTAATTTTTGATGGTGGATCATCTTCTTCTGTCAGTGCAGAACCCAGAATAGGCAGGATTCAATCCTGCAGCCAGAAAGTGCGGGAAGAGCTGAGGGTCCACATTCCCTGACTCGCTCCTGTCTCATGGGACAAGTCCGCTGCCTCCTGCAGGGGCTGATGGATGGGCACCTTCAGTTGGCTGTTGGAAGCCACACCGGAAGAGGGAGAGGAGCAGATGGAAAAGGCTTGGCGGGAAAGCTGTGCCGTCTTATTGGTCTCTTTCCAGGGAACACGCAACGTTCCAGGCAGGCTTCCTGTGAGAGTTTCCCATGGGACGGGACTCACATTTCTAAATGAGATGTATCCACGCCCTGGCCAATGTCCTCTCTATCACCCACCTGTCTCCTTAGTGAGTTCAAGCACATCAGAAACACTGTTGGACCATGTAGGAATCCTATTCCACACTTCCTCCTGCTCCACCGGAAGCACACAATGACAGCCCCGCTGTCTCATATCCATATTTTAATTTTCTGCAACTTGGATAGATTATGACTACATTTTCCTGCTCTATTGTATAAAGTAGGGGGGTGGAAGGGAAGAGAAAGTGAGAGGGGCGTCTGCTGTGGCCATGCCTCCTGCCTGCTGGGAAAGAGAGAGGAAGGTAGGAAGGCAGTGTTCACAGTTTGGGAAAAATAGCAAAACAAAGCCAAACACCTTTCCTCGCCTTTCTGCTATTAAAGAGATGAGAGGTTCGTTCTCTGAAGAAGAACAGGAAGCAGGGATGAAGTGGACCGGAAGTGCAGGAATTACATGGAATTCTATACCCAGTGTGGAGACTGTTCCCTCCCGATCCCTGGATGTGGGAGGACATGTCCCAGGCAGGAAGGGAAGGGTTTTTTCTGGAGAGAATGGAGAGCCAGAGAGGAAAGATGTCCAGATACCAAGACACTGATATTCGGGGTTCCCCAGGGAAAGAACCAGCTTGCGACGGGATCACGTCACAGGGACACCCACTGGGGGACCATCCCACCCTGAAATGGAGCATCTGCTTAGTTTCTAAGTGTGAAGCAACAGACCAGGGCCAGCAGACAACTGAGGAAGCCTCGTACAGGAAAGAGAGACCAACACAAATAAACTGGAAAAAAAGAGCTGGAAGGAAACATAGAATAATAATGATAACTAATATTATCAGAGTGATAAGAGAGGATATTATGTTCCTGAAACAATAATAGCATAATATTAAAAAATCAGATAATATAAAGAAACTCTTAGAAATTTAAGAAAAAAAAAAACAACAAAAAACAAAACCATAATGGCAAAGGTTAGAAAGTCCAGAGAAGAGATTAAAGTAAATACTGACAAAGCCTCCCAGAAAGTAGAATAAAAAGACAGAGATAGACAGCTGGAGAGACAAGTATAGGAGTGGGAGGCCATGCCCAGCATTTGATAAATAGGAATTCTGGAAAGAGAGGACACAGGCAAGAGGGGAGAAGATGTCAAAGAAACAATCCAAAAAGAACCTCACAACTAAAAAAGAATGCATGTCACGTCTCCAGACTAAAAGTGCCCATCGAACACAGAGTACAATGGATTTACAAAGACCCACATCAGGGCACCCATCCTGAAATTTTAGATCAGAAGGAGCAAAAAGGAGTTCCCAAAGGATCCCATTGTTGGGGAGCCCAAGGGGGTGTCACATACAATGGATAGGATGGTGGGCTTTTCCAGAGCAACGCCTTTGGTATTCTGAGAGAAATTTTTTTTTTGTATATTTCTATATCCAGTCAAACTATTCATTAGATACAAAGCTAGAATAAAGACTTTTTCAGATATGCCAGTATCCAAACATTTTACTTCCCATATGCGCTTTCTCTGGATTGATTGCAGGATGTTCTCCAGCGAAACAATGGTGTAAAACAAAAAACAGGAAGACTCCGGATCCGGGAAAGAGAGGACCCAATACAGAACGAGGGAGAAGGAAAGACCCTGATGGGGATGCGGCATCCCGGGTTGAGACTCTGCATGAGACCAAGTCCAGGCTGGAGCAGGAGGTTGGAGGAGTCTAAGAGGGAGGTCCTGGAAAAACAACAGCAGTAGCAGCTGCCACAGCAACCAAAATCAAACCAAAGAGGAACGAGAACTACCCGACGTAGCTGGAAATTAATATTGGTAGACATCTGAGAATCTGTAGGAACTTTTGGGAGAAAAGTGAAGGGTATGTAGTAACTAAATAAGTGAAAGCAAGGCAAGTATTCCCTTTGGGTAAAACAATGGGTTGTCTAAAAAACGAGCTGCAACCACAGGATACTACTTGGATTAGTCACGATAATGTCATGCTTATGACTACGGCTTTAAGCCAGAATTATGCTATCACCATACTAAGAAAATGGAAAAGGAAATAAAATGTGGGTGGTTATAATCTAAATCTACATCCTTATTTTTTTTTTCTTTGTGACAAAGTCTCGCTCTGTCCACCGGGCTGGAGTGCAGTAGTGTGATCTGGACTCTTGGACTCACTGCAACCTCCGCCTTTGGGGCTCAGGCAATCCTCCCACCTCAGCCTCCAGAGAAGCTGGGACTGCAGGCATGTGCCACCACACCCGACTAATTTTTGTGTTTTTTGTAGAGATGGGATCTCACTAGGTTGCCCAGGCTGGTCTCAAGCTCCTAAGATCAAGTGATCCTCCCACCTCAGCCTCCCAAAGTGCTGGTATTATAGGTGTGAACCACTGTGCCTGGCCGTCTTCATCCATTTTTAACAGGAATTCAACAACCTAAAAGTGAATCAATCAAGGAATAATGCCCTGTGTCAATTATTTATCTATATGGAGGCAAATACTAGAAGAAACAGCTAAAACTGTTGCAAGTGGCAGGAGTTGCAGGGAGGAAGCTGTTTGTCATAATCAGCCTTGTGGAACCATTTGACTTTTAAATGATGTCATCTATTACTTTGATAGAAACAAATATTAATACTTTAAAAAGTGAATGAAATTGAACTTTGAAAAAGCAGAAATAAGCGGCTTATTTTACCTTGACAACTTAGATTTTAACATACAGTAGGAACCGTTCCCCAAGAGACAGGGAGGGAGCAGATACTAAACCTACGCTGGGTAAACCCAGGCATCCGGGTATCAGCATCGGGATGGGTTATCTGGGTCTAACACTACCCTCTGGGCTCTTCAAGGTCCCCAAAGCACCAGGGGGCTGTGTGGGTGGCACAAAGAGAATCACAGCCAAGAGAAAAAAACTCGGGTCTAAATCCAACGAGCTAATCACATGCCTGGCATGGGACTAAGAACTTTGCATGCTTTATCTCACTGAATCTTCCCAAGAAGGTTGTGGTTAGAGCCTTATAACATCCTTGCTCAATTAGAGAGGAAAGGGAAGCTTGGAGACGTTACAGGAGGTGCCCACATTTATCCCTTTTACCAAGGGGCATGCCTGGGAAAAGAACCTGGGTCTGCCCGGCAGCAAAAGCTGAACTGTCAACCACTCAGCAGTGCCTTTCATGATCTTTACACTGACACAGGTTACACAGGCTATCCAGCCATCCCCCAGTCCTTTGTCTCTGAGTCACTTAGCCTCTCTGTACCTACTTCCTCCTCTGGAAAGCCAGCGATTCTCGCTCCATCTCACGCAGAGATGCTGAGGCTCAAATATCATAGTATATATAAAAAATTTAAATGGCAATTTGTACAAATGAAAATATTATTCTTGATCACAGGAGGGAGACAGGGGGCCTTGGGATGCGACTTGGTCTCCTATATCAACTTGAAAGATGCTGTCCCTTGGTCATTTGTGGTCATTTATGTGCCCAAGCCCAAGGAAAGATTTTGAGAAGAGAGGGCTGGGTTCTGGAGTGACATTCAGCATGTGGGCTGATGCTGTCGGGACCTTGAACCTAAATGTGGCTGGCTGCAAAGGTGTCATCACCTCCACTCAGGGCATCTGTAGTATTTAGTTCTGACATTTATTCTTTTTAATTTTCCCTGAATCGCAAAGTCCTAGGCGTGCATGATGTTCAGAGGCCTTCAGTGCCAGCTCAGCATTTGGGACAAGACAGTACTGAACGCAACTCCTCTCCCTTTCCCCAAGCGTCTGCCCAAGTAGGCTTTGGGTCAATTTTTTTTTTTTTTTTTTTTTTTTTGAGACGGAGTCTCGCTCTGGCACCCAGGCTGGAGTGCAATGGTGCGATCTCGGCTTACTGCAACCTCAGCCTCCCGGGTTCGCTCAAGCAATTCTCCTGAGTGAGCCTCCCGAGTAGCTGGGATTACAGGCGCCTGCCACCACGCCCGGCTAACTTTTGTATTTTTAGTAGAGATGGCATCTCACCATGTTGGTCAGGCTGGTCTCGAACTCCTGACCTCTTGATCCACCCGCCTCTGCCTCCCAAAGTGCTGGGATTACAGGCGTGGGCCGGGGACAATTTTTTACTTGCCCTGCTGGAGAGTGATTTCGCGGATTCAGCCTTGCCATGCATTTACTTCGCTGCCCAAGGCTGCCACCTGGTGGAGACTGCTCACCTTTCATTTCTGAACTTGGTTTCAAAGCGCTTTCACATTTATTTAAAAAAAAAACCTGATACTCTTACAATCTGTATGTAAGTTCAGTATTATTATTTCCACTTTATAATGAGAAAGTGGGGTCTTAGAGGAAAGAATCTAAAAGTACCTGGAACTGCATTATGGTATCTTTTCCCTCCATTCGGCAAAACCCCAAAATGCTGTCCTCTTAGTGTGCTGGGTTTGAGCCCAGTTTAAGTCCTGGCTCAGCAACTGTCCCAAAATGAGGTCTTTTCACAGAACTGAATTTGATCATTACCAGGCCCTCCGTTATTCTGAACATTTGTAATTGGTGGAACTATTCTGTGCAGTGAATGTGTTGAGGTAGTTACAGAAGGAAAGTGATGGCTGATACTACCATTCCAACGTGTGTGTGTGTGTGTGTGTGTGTTTGTGTGTGTGTTAAGGTTTAATGGGTTTTTGCAATCCCTAGGGCCTGAGTTTAATTACATTTTAAAATCCAGGCAGCGGTATCTCCCTAGACTCCTTTGAATCCATCCATCGAACACCTCACAGACAAGCGCACGAGGAGAGCCTCCCTCCAGGGTGCACCATAGCCTGGCCATTCATTAGGCATGTGATCTCATCTTCATTCACTGGGAAAACAGGGATAAAAGGCTGCATCTATCTCTTGGGTTGATGGGTGCAGCAAACCATCATGGCACATGTATACCTATGTAACAAACCTGCACATTCTGCATGTGTATCCCAGAACTTAAAGTATAATAATAATAAAACACTTTTTAGAAAATTCAGGACACTCTGGGCTTTACATTTATTTATTTATTTATTTAAAAAAAGAATTGGCTGGGTGTGGTGGCTCATGCCTGTAATCTCAGCCCTTTGGGAGGCCAAGGTGGGTGGATCATGAGGTCAGGCGTTCGAGACCGGCCTGACTAACACGGTGAAACCCCATCTCTACTAAAAATACAAAAATTAGCCAGGTGTGATGGCTGGTGCCTATAATTCCACCTGCTCAGGAGGCCGAGGCAGAGAATCGCTTGAACCCAGGAGGCAGAGGTTGCAGTGAGCCGAGATTATGCCATTACACTACAGCCTGGGCTACAGAGTGAGACTCCATCTCCAAGAAAAAAAAAAAAAAGACTTATTTAATCTTCCATCAATGTTCTGACAACCAAGAGAAAATTCCTTACTGAGATCACAGGAATGGCTAAACCCATCAAATCTTCACTTGAAAGTTCTCTGGTTTGTCCATCTGGAATTTGCCCTGACTGAATGCACTACCCTTAAATTCCTTAGTAGAACTTTTATTCTAACTAATCCTCACACTTCAGGACTTCAGACGAGTCCCTGACATTTTACCCAGGTAAGAGGTAGAACTTAAGCTGTGAATTCAGAAAAACATCTGTTAATTTGCTTTCTGTGGCCCTACATTAGTCAGCTGGTGTATACCTCAAACTCTTCCGCTTCTTGTTAATTACATTTTTAGAGTAAGGGGAAATCCTAGGTTTAGTATTATTTGATTTATTTCAAGGTAGAATGCATTTTGGCCTCCAAATTAATTACCATCAATAAACTTATGCAAAATTCACTCTCAAAAAAAAAAAAGCAGTGTCTATCTCAAAAGGCGTTGTGAAGACTCAGTTAAACAATTCACATAAAGCACTCAGCAACAAGCCTACACATCATGTGAACTTTGTAGGAATGAACCGTTCTTGTCTATTACTGTTAATGAGCAGCCCTAAGGGGGTGTGACGGAGATTGCATTCATGAGACATTCATTGCATTCGTTATGTGCATGCCGGGGGTAGCCAGTGGAGTGGGTGTTTCTTTTTTAAAATGTTCTTTTAGGGCCGGGCAAGGTGGCTCACACCTGTAATCCCAACACTTTGGGAGGCCAAGGTGGATGGATCAACTTGAGGTCAGGAGTTTGAGACCAGCCTGGGCAACATGGCAAAACCCCATCTCTATTAAAAATACAAAAACTAGCCAAGCGTGGTGGTGCACACCTGTAATCCCAGTTACTCGGGAGGCTGAGGCGGGAGAATCGCTTGAACCTGGGAGGCGGAGGCTGCAGTGAGCTGAGATTGTGCCATTGTACTCCAGCCTGGGCAACAGAGTGAGACTGTGTCTCAAAAAAAAAAAAAATGTTCTTTTAGTCGCAGTTCCTAACCTCAGTGATATTCCGCAAGTCCATCTTCCCCGGGAGGAGGTGTGTGCTGTAAAGGGGTGTAGGCATTTTGGGTCATCCCACAAAAGGAGACACTACAAGCTTATGGAGCAATTGGATACAGGACAAGGGGCTGTCGCTCTCAATTAGGAATCATCTCTTGAACAAACATTTTTGTAAAGAAGATACACAAATGGCCAACAGCATGCGGACATATGCTCAACATCACTAGTCTACAGGGAAACGCAAATCAAAACCACAATGAGATACACCTCACACCCATTGGGATGGTCATCAATTTAATAAAGCAAAATAGAAAATAACAAATGTTGGAGAGGATGTGGAGAAACTGGAACCCTTGGGCACTGTTGGTAGAAATGTAAAATGGTGCAGCTGCTATGGAAAACAGTAGGGATGGCTCCTCAAAAAATGAAAAATAGAAGTACCCTATGATCTGGCAATACCACCTATAGGTATATACCCTGAACAACTGGGAATAGGGTCTCGAGGAGATATTTAGACATCCATGTTCATAACAGCATTATTCATGATAGGCAAAAGGTTTTGGAAATAACCCGTGCCTTTTGATGTATGAATGGATCAACAAAAGGTGATCTACACAGACAATAAAATGTTATTTAGCCTTAAAAAGGAAGGCAGCCAAGCGTGGTGGCCCACTTCTGTAATCCCAGCACTTTGGAAGGCCAAGGCAGGCAGATCACCTGAGCCCAGGAGTTTGAGACCAGCCTGGCCAACATGGTGAAACCCTGTCTCCATAAACAAATACAAAAATTAGCTGGGTGAGGTGGCACACACCTGTAGTCCCAGCTACTTAGGAGGGTGAAGTAGGAGGATCACTTGAACCCAGAAGGTGGAGGTTGCAGTGAGCCAAGATTGCACCACTGAACTCCAGCCTGGGCGAGAGAGACCCTGTCTTAAAAATTAAAAAAAAAAAAAAAAAAAAAAAGGAAGGAAATTCTGATACACGCTACAACATGGATGAACCTTTTTTTTTTTTTTTTTTTTTTTTTCTGAGACAGAGTTTTGCTCTGTTGCCCAGGCTGGAGTGCAGTGGTATGATCTCGGCTCACTGTAACCTCCACCTCCCAGGTTCAAGAGATTTTCCTGCCTCAGCCTCCCAAATACCTAGAATCACAGACACAAAACACCACATCTGGCTAATTTTTGTATTTTTAATAGAGATGGGGTTCCGCCATGTTGGCCAGGCTAGTCTCAAACTCCTGACCTCAGGTGATCCGCCTGCCTCGGCCTCCCAAAGTGCTGGGATTACAGGCATGAGCCACCACACACAGCCAACATGGATGAACCTTGAGGCCATTATGCTAGGTAAAGTAAGCCAGACACAAAAGGACAAATATATATGATTCCACTTATATGAAGTACTAGAGTGGTTAAATTCATGGAGACAAAAAGTAGTGGTTGCCAGTGGCTGAGGAAAACGGGGAAGGGGAAGTTGTTTAATGAGTACAGAGTTTCAGTTTAGCAGATGAAAAGAGCTCTTGGGTGAATGACGGTGGGGATGGTTATACAACATTGTGAGTGTACTGAATGCCGCTGAACTGCACACTTAAAAATGGCGGAGACTACAAACTGACTTCCGTGTATGCTGCTCGAGTGAAGGGTGCACCAAATTCTCACAAATCACAACTAAAGAACTTACTCATGTAACTAAATACCACCTGTTCCCCAAAAACCTATGGAAATATAAAAATATTTTCCAAAATGGTTAAGATAGTAAATGTATGTGCATTTTACAATTTTTTTTAAAAAAGAAACTGTCTCAAAGTGACAATAGCGTCCCTTTGAAAGATGCTGCTAGACCAACTAAAAATGGTCAAATATACACGTATTTGGTTATAAGAAGCTCATTCCTATCTGCAAGACCTGTCTAAGTTGACTGGTGCATTTGTCATACTTGTCTAGGCTTTTCACCTTTGTCTCAGTTGACAAAGAAATCTTTAAAATCAGGAGACCTTTAAAATAAGGTTAGGAAACATGTCCACAGAGCCAGAAACACAGCCATGGATCAAAGGAATCACATTATTATTATTATTATTATTATTCCTTTTTTTTTTTTTTGAGATGGAGTCTCCGCCTGTCACCAGGCTGGAGTGCAGTGGCGTGATCTTAGCTCACTGCAACCTCCACCTCCCAGGTTCAAGCAATTCTCCTGCCTCACCCTCCCAAGTAGCTGGGACTACAGGCATGTGCCACCATGCCTAGCTAATTTTTATATTTTTAGTAGAGACAGGGTTTCACCACGTTGGCCAGGATAATCTCAATCTCTTGACCACGTGATCCACCCGCCTCGGCCTCCCAAAGTGTTGGGATTACAGGCGTGAGCCAGCGCGCCGGGTCAGGAATCACATTATTAAATGGTGCCGTTAGCTTCATAACATTCCATTTATTTATAGTAATTAATTTATAAATGACTTCTCCTAATCAATAAAATGGCCTAAGGGGTAACACTTTGGAATTTCCAGCTTCAAATGATACTTTCAGGTTTCAGAGGGAAATTGAGGGAGAGGGAGTTCCTACCTTGTAGATGCAGGACTTCGCGTTCAGAAAGAAAAGCTCAATGGTAGCATTATCCTTCAGGTATGAAATGCTTTCTATATAGAACCTGAAAGAGAAAAATGGTGCGTGAACCACAGAAACAGCAGGTGCAGAAAATAAAGTGCTCTCTTGAGCTACATGATTTGAGATGAAAGCTGGCATTCCCCATCCTAAATAAACAAAGGAAAAAGGCACCATCCATGGTTTTTCTATGATTCCCTAGGGAGGACAAACTGTTTTTGGAGTTTTGATAGTGGCTTAGGGTCACGCCTAATGGGCCTCACCATAACCAAAGAACTGGGTCTACCACCAATTTGTAAGAACAAATTCTAAAACTAGGCCTCTGATTTCTTTGTCCTATCTGCTTTATAATTTTACATAATGTTATTTGTTTTCATCACATTGCTTGTTTGTCCTAAATTGTCATTGAGTTGGATTTTCTTTTCTTCTCCTTTTTTTTCTTTTTTTAGACAGGGTCTCGCTCTGTTGTCCAGGCTGGAGTGCAGTGGTGCATGGCTTACTGCAGCCTTGACCTCCCAGGCTCAAGCAACCTTCCCGCCTCAGCTTCCTGAGCAGCTGAGACTACAGTTGCATACCACCACGCCTAATTTTTTTTTTTTTTTGTAGATACGGAGTCTTCCTTTGTTGCTCAGGCTGGGCTCAAATTATCTGCCCACCTCAGCCTCCCGAAATGCTGGGGTAATAGATGTGAGCCACTGTGCCCAGCCAAGTTGGATTTTTAAAAGATAATTTCTTCTTAATCACAGCTTTCTTTGAAATGGTTACTACTACTCCCGAAGGTGGTGAAGTGTGATTTGATTTCTGCACATTCGGAGAGCTATGCTAAGTGCTCTTAACACTGTGATATGAATGCATATTAAGCCAAATGAGAATCGGATTTCATCTAGATGGAGCTTATAGATATTTTCAAGATGAAACATGCTGCCATTATTTAAGTTTACACTAAATGTGCCTTTATAATATTGACTTTGGAGTTTATTAAATTCTTTAATGAGATAATGCGCTTGTACTGTCTAATGACCAGCCGCACTGAAGGACTAGGAGTTGAAAGGAAGAGAGGGGAAAGGTTGAAATGCAACATCTTGGAGGGAAGAAGGTTCTGAGCAGGTGTAGCAACCCTTAGGGTGGACTAGGAGGGTGCTGGGTACCTGGGGCTCTTGGAAACTGGGTTCACCAAGAAGAGGCAGAAGGTGAGGAAGGTGAAATGAGAAGAAACAAGTACTACAGTTTTCTAGAATAGTGTTATAATCTGAGGGCCAGAATCCTCTGGAGGGAGTCAGAGAGCAGTGATGGAGTCCCCAGCTCTGTGTGACTCAGGGCAGTCACATCATCCTGCTGGGCTTCTGTTCTTCAGACCGTAAAAGAAGAAGTGGTTCTCTACCTAAGAAGTCCACTGGTTTTTAAATATTGGAAACTGACTACAATGTAAACAACAACAGCAGCAGCAAAAACAAGAGACCAACATCGTATAAGGTGAACAAACTGATGCCCTTAGCTTCAAGAAGTTCTATTCATTTATAGTAATTAATTTAAAAATGAATTCTTCTAATCAATACAATCACCTGAGGGGCAACAACTTGGAATGTCCAGCTTCAAATGATACTTTTAGATTCCACTGGGAAATGGAAGAGGAGGAGAGTTCCTACACTGGAGATACAGGACCTCATGTGTCTTTTTAGAAAGGAAAGCTCAATGGTAGCGTTATCCTTCAGGTATGGTAAAAGATAAAAGGATTTATCCATAATTGGCCAGGCGCGGTGGCTCACACCTGTCATCCCAGCACTTTGGGAGGCTGAGGTGGGGGGAATCACCTGAGGTCAGGAGTTCGAAACCAGCCTGGCCACCATGGTGAAACCCCTGTCTCTACTAAAAATACAAAAATTAGCCAGGGGTGGGTGTGGGTGCCTGTAGTCCCAGCTACTTGGGAGGCTGAGGCAGAAGAATCGCTTGAACCCAGGAGGGGGAGGTTGCAGCGAGCCGAGATGGTGCCACTGCACTCCAGCCTGAACAACAGAGGGAGACTCTATCTCAAAAAAAAAAAAAAAAAAAGTATCTTTTACCATACCTGAAGGATAATAATGCTACTGTTGCATAAACATGAAGATAAAAACCCACGTCTGTAGGCTACATCAAGCCCATGGCCCACCAGCTTGCAACCTCTTGTCTACACACTAAATAAATAAATAAAGCTTTCTATCATTTTTCAAATGTGTGCAGAGGCTGCTGTGATGAATACAATTCAAGTTTTTTTGAAATTGGTGAGTGAATTTGGAGTAACTTCAGACATTAAATTTTCTCAATCCACAGATATCATTAGTACAATTCTTATCATCTCAGGTTCTACAAAATTTGGAGGAATTACGCAGTGGTCCTCATACTTGTAAAGCCTGAAAATTAATGGACTGGCTGATCTCTGCCCATAACCCCTGCCCCTGCCAAGCACCTGCCCCCTGCTTCTGGAGCAGGTGTCTTATATCACCAAGGTCTTCATATAGGGCCCACCATGGTCTCAGAGGCACAGTAAAGTTAAACAACTTTTAGTTCTTTAAGAATGGAGAGCAAAATTGCAGTAGCAAATTTTACATCTCAAAGCAAAATAAATTTGATATGATTTGATTTTCTTTTTTAAATTTTTTTATTTTTATAATTTCTTTTTATTTTGTTATTATTTTTTATTACACTTTAAGTTCTAGGGTACACATGCACAACGTGCAGGTTTGTTACGTATGTATACATATGCCATGTTGGTGTGCTGCACCTGTTAACTCGTCATTTACATTAGGTATGTCTCCTAATGCTATCCCTCCCCCTACCCCCCACCCCACGACAGGCCCCAGTATGTGATGTTCCCCACCCTGTGTCCAAGTGTTCTCAGTGTTCAATTGCCACCTATGAGTAAGAACATGTGGTGTTTGGTTTTCTGTCCTTGTGACAGTTTGCTCAGAATGATGGTTTCCAGCTTCATCCATGTCCCTACAAAGCACATGAACTCATCCTTTTTTGTGGCCGCATAGTATTCCATGGTGTATATGTGCCACATTTTCTTAATCCAGTCTACCACTGATGGACATTTGGGTTGGTTCCAAGTCTTTGCTGTTGTGAATAGTGCCACAATAAACATACGTGTGCATGTGTCTTTATAGCAGCATGATTTATAATCCTTCAGGTATATACCCAGTAATGGGATGGCTGGGTCAAATGGTATTTCTAATTCTAGATCCTTGAGGAATCGCCACACTGTCTTCCACAATGGTTGAACTAGTTTACAGTCCCACCAACAGTGTAAAAGTGTTCCTATTTCTCCACATCCTCTCCGGCACCTGTTGTTTCCTGACTTTTTAATGATTTGATTTTCAAAAAATAAATCTATATCGTAGCTCATGCCTGTAATCCCAGCACTTTGGGAGGCCAAGATGTGTGGATCAACTGAGGTCAGGAGTTCGAGACCAGCCTGGCCAACATGGTGAAAGCCTGTCTCTACTAAAAATACAAAAAATTAGCCAGGCGTGGTGGCGGACACCCGTAATCCCAGCTACTTGGGAGGCTGAGGCAGGAGAATCGCTTGAACCTGGGAGGCGGAGGTTGCAGTCAGCTGAGATCATGCCATTGCACTCCAGCCTGGGCAACAAAAGCGAAACTCCGTCTCAAAAATAAATAAATAAATCTACATCCTTTGCAAAGGGCCTCTGGCAAAGGGTAGGCAGAATAATAAAAGAAACTAAAGGAAGGAAAAGAAGGAAAAGCGAGGAAAGGGAGAGAAAGGGGAGGCAAGGAAGAGAGAAAGCAATCCTAACACCAGAATATTAACAGAAGCCTCCTGAAGTTGACGGTGGCCTTTGTGCTCTAATGATGATTTTGAGTCTAAATTCATATAAGGTCTGAAATAACTTAATTTTCAAAGTAATGCCATATGTTTCTTAAAAGAATCTCATTTGCTTTAGTTCTTAAAAAGTAAAGAGTAAAGACATCCTGCCTCTTCCACCCCAATTTTCTCCTGAATAGTATATTAAGAAAATATAACGCTTCCCTTTTCGTTTCCACTCTCATATGATGGAAAACTGAATTGAGGTGGCAAATTCTACATCTCTGTGACTGCCTTCATTTCCACCAAGCTCTCTGTTGTCTAGCCATAAAAGGGGCAGAGAAGGTACAGGAAATAACACGCATATTCTGAGATGAAGAGAAAAAAAATCACCTCCTCTCGACGGAAGTGGAAAGCAGTTTCCTGTTAACTTTTATCACCAAGACGACAGCCTGGAAAACCCCGTGAGCTCCGGGCCTGTCATATCATTGTTCTGTTAGGGGAGGGTATGGAGCTCATCCTGAGCTTTCCCTCCCTGCCAGGGAACGGCTGAGTCAAAAACGCCTGCAGAGAAACAGAGCTCAGACCTCTCCACCCGCACGCCCAGAGAGGCATGGTGCACACCGGTGGCACCAGGGACAAGAGCCTCCTGGGAAGATGGGGAGGGCTGAGGGTTTGGATTCAAAGTCAAAATTTTTTTTTCTTTTTTTTCTTTTTGAGATGGGGTCTTGCTCTGTCACTCAGGCTGGAGTGCAGTGTGCAACCACAGTTCACTGCAGCCTCGACCTCCTGGGATCAAGTGACCTGTCTGTCTAAGCCTCCCAGATAGCTGGGACTACAGATATAAGCCACCATGCTGACTAATTTTTTATTTTCTGTCGAGATGGGGTCTCACTATGTTGCCCAGGCTGGTCTTGAACTCCTGAGCTCAAGTAATTATCCTACCCTGACCTCCCAAAGTACTCAGGTTACAGGCCAGCCTCTTCTTCTTTTTTTTTTTTAATCCAGTTTTTGGCTGGGCATAGTTTTTGGCCGGGCATAGTTTTTGGCCGGGCATGCCTGTAATCCCAGCACTTTGGGAGGCCGAGGCAGGCAGATCTGTCTCAAAAAAAAAGAAAAAAAAAAAAAGTGGCTTCTTTTTCTGATTTTCAGGAGAGCCTCAGCAGTAGGTGGCAATGTTGCATTTCCTTAACTACCAGCATGGAGCAGGGAGTGCTTCCAGGGTTCACAAAGAACATTCCAGGTCTCTGGGTAACCAGGGAAATAAATGAAGGCTATGTCTCGGATTCAGAGGGTCTGCATGGACAGTTCCGAGTCTGGCTGTGTATTGACCATGGCTTTATGATGCTTGGATGTCTGTGACCTTGCTGGGCCTGGAGGGACTGCTGGTGCCAGGGTTAGCCAATTTCCAGACCCCAAGACTTCCACATGTCACCATGGATCCAGGGTCCACCCCTCCCACCACCTCTCGGCTCTCACACCCAGGGCCACTATTTCCCTGCCCTCACCACCCTAGGGACACGTACCAGACAACTAGGGGGCAGCCCCCATGCTGCAGAGCCCGCTGAAATTATTTAAACTAGCCAATCCCAAGCCTGCTCTCCCAGCCTTGCCCGTTCCTCCCCAAAGAAACCACAAAAAATGCTCTTGCCCAATTGTTTCCCGGCTCCCCAATGCCTCCCACATGGCCCTGCGTGGCATGGTGTGGCCCCTTCTCCCAGGAACTGAGTGACAATCTTTTCAATGTCTGTCCTCTCCTCATCTGCTGGCCTCACCACAGCTGAATCATAATCAGACCTACATTTTAAACGGGTTTTGGGGGCACACTTAGCAGGACTGAATCTTAGGGCATCTATTTGAGTCTAAAGGAACACTCTAGATGGAGCGCAGACCTTGCTAAGAGGTTTCCTGACTCCACAAGCAACAGCCCACCCAAACTAGCTCAGATGATCCCGACCCGAGAATATTTTATCAGAGAGTCTGAAGGAGAACGAAATAGGTGCTCTGTGTTTATGTGTTTGAGCTTATTAAATATTAAACAGCCTCTAAAGCCTCGGGGAGTCCCGTCCCCTTCTTTGACAAGTGAAAGCCTCTGGTTGCAATAGACTGAACACTGCCTAGTCAGATGGCAAGGGCCCAGCCAGATGACATCAGCCAGGTCTCCTCCTCCATTCTCCCTGCTCTCCCTTTCCCTTCCCCATCCAGCCCTGGGCACTTGGGAATCACTGAATATTTACAGCAAGTGTTAATTAAATGGACCAGTGATTTCATTTTGTAATGAACACAAATGTCACATTTAAAATGCCTACTCTTGGTGGCAAATAAGAGCCATGATAATGAAAGCAATAAGCTGTGAGTTTCTGCAGCCAAGCCTCTGATGCTTAGAATCTCAATGCCTCTAAAATCTTAACTGGGACACCTAGCTGAAATATAGCAAGTTCTGGTTAGCAGGAACCTCATTTTAGATCCATGCCATCATTGTTATTGCGAGTGACAGGAAGTAGCAGCTGCTGTCTCCATCAGCCAGGGAAGATACCAAGAATCCGGCCTGTGGACTTGGCTGTAAAATCCTTCCTCCCCGATCGGACTTCTCCTCTCTTATTTTTTTGCTGCTTGCTTCAGTTTATTGTCTGTGAAACTCAAATTCTGAAGAGGCAAATCTAATCTCTGTTTATTTTCTTACAAGGAGTTGAGATGATCAGAACTACAGGACACTTGGTAGAAGAAAATGTAATTAAAGAATAATCCAGACATGTAGGCTTCATTCTGAGCACAAAGTTGTGCCTATGAAAAGACCACACACACACACACACACACACACACACACATGACGCAGACTTCCTTGGGTTGTGTATATTTTCCTTATATTTTTTTCTTGACCTATTTCTAAAGCTTGCCTGGTGAACAATATCAGAGAGACATTGTTCCCAAGCCTTATAGCACTAAACAATGGTTTGCAGTTCAAGGTGCTCTTGGTCATATATTGACCGCTGCTGGCTGCTTATAATGTGTGTGTGTGTGTGTGTGTGTGTGTGTGTGTGTTGTGTGGTGAGGGGAGTGGGAAGAGGTGAGGCTGGACAGTTAAGCAGAAGTCACATCATGCAAGTCACGCTAAAGATGTCCTTTTCTGAGGATAATGGGAAGCTGGAAAAAAATTATGAGCAAGGATCAGATGAGAATTCTAGAAAGATGCTCAGTGTCTTCATATAGGGGAGTTTGGAAGGGGTCAAGGCCAGACGCAGAGATGAACAAGGAGATCTTGAGTCCAGGAGAGGTTTATGGAAGCCCTAATTACTATTAGGCTGTGTATGGAGAGTAAGAGATGGATAGGGAGCTGTTTAAGATGCAGGAATAACAGCGAGTAGTGACTGAGGGAACAGGAGGAGGCAAGCGGGAGGGAGCGGTGAGGTCAAGGTTGACTCCCAAGTCTCTGGTTTTGGGGGCTGCAGGGGTGATGGTGCCCATCACAAAGACAAGGAGGTGACAACGAAAGGGGAGCACATTTGGATGCAGAAAGACGACGACATCATTAGATTCCAGCTGCATCTGTGAGGAAATGCCAGTCAGTGGAGATGGCCTGGAGCTCGGGAGAGAGGTCAGGACTGGGGCAGAGGACGGAGAGTCTCCAGCAAAGAGACTGCAGTGGCAGCTGTGGATGGGGGTGAAATCACACCAGGGGAAGGTGCAGGGAGAGAAGACAAGCAAGACACGACCTCGTGGACACCAGGGCTCAAGGGACAGCAGAGCAGAGCAGGGAACCTGCCCCGAGCCAGGGACAGAGGGGACAAAGAGGAGGTGGCCCAGGAGAGTGTAGTGCCACAGAGCCGGGGGAACTGAAAGGGAGCATGTTCGAATGAGCCCAGAGCCACAGAAGCCACATGGGAGCAGGGCAGAAGCACGCCTGTGGAGCTAGGGGCGAGAGACCTCCAGTGACCAGGGGGTACGATGGCACCAGAAGCTGGACGACCACAGAATGAGGAACGAGAGGCCTGTGGGGAGGGGGTGACAGCAAGTGCAGACCCATCTCTCGGCGGTTGCTGTGAGCAGAGCAGAAGGGGTAGCAGAGGGCACTGGCTGGAGGAGGCTGTGCATCACAGAGGACGTTTTCTTCAGTTAGATTGGGACGTGGTCACAAAGGGGAGGAATCCATGGAGGAGAAGATAGAGAAAAAGAGAGGAAAGGCTCGAGGGAGAAGCTCTGTGAGGTGACAGAAGGGACTGGGATTGAGGTACACGTGGATCAGTGCGTGCTGGATGATGGGCTAAGGGTCTTCCTCTGAGACGCTCATGCATTTGCGTGTGTGCAGTGAGTGGACTGAGAAGCCACAAAAACACAATTAAAGATACAATTAAGTTTGTGGATAAAGAAGTAGGACTAGGAGCTCCCTGGTGCTGGCTTTTATTTTCTCTGCAGAAACATAAGCAGCAACATCTTCTTAGAGCAAAAGCCTTGAGTATCTGGGACCTGAAGCAAGAGGTAAAACCACAGTGGGGAACAGAGACCCTGAGCAGGCACCCCTGGCAGAACTGGCTAGAGATATGATGATCTGTGTGGGGTTCATCACAATAACCATGAACCAACCTGAAGTTGCATGAACATTTTCCTGAACACACTCAGAAGCTCGGGGGTAGAAATAAAAGGTGTGTGTGTGTGTGTGGCAGGACCAGTCCAACCCTGCGGGTGGGTGTGTGTGTGAGAGAAAGGGAGAGAGAGAGAAAGTGTGAGCAGCAAAGGGAGGTGTGGTCCAGGGTCAGGAAGTAGTTGGAAGGGTGCACAATGGATTTGCACTGAATTGGCCAAAAAATAGGACAGGCAGGGCTGATAGGATCTCAGAAGCTGGAGGAAATGGACGCGAAATTGCCTGAGAACAGGGTTTATCAGTTTTGTTCGCTGCTCTGTCCTTGGCTCCTAGAGCAGTGCTTATGCCAAGGGACATCTGTGAGCCCATAAATGAAGGCATGGATGATGATGCAGAAACAGCCCAGGAGGAGCAGTGAGCAGGCTGCTGCATGCTACAGCTGGGATGATGGTGGATTTGGGCTTGTAAGTCTCGGGAGTGACACAGCTCAGGGTGATGACCAGGTGCAAGTGGACCCTGAAGTTTTCTTTCTAGGAGACAGAAAAGCACAGTTCAAAGAATACCTTCCGGCGGGTCTCCACAGTGTCAGATAATGCAGAAAATGGCAAGACCTTCTCAAGTGAGACCAACAGCAGATGTCTGAGGTCCTGAAAATTCTTGCTTTACCATTTGAGATGGCTCTTCCTCCTCCAGTGTGGTATTTCCAAGATATCCAGTGTATCCCTTCAGAGTGGCAGCCTGCCAAGACCTGTGACTGTGATTGTCCCTGTGCAGGGGCACTCTGCCAGGGGAGCTCTGGGTTGGGTAGTGCTGGAACCAGGCTGGCAGGCCTGGCGGTGGCTCTGTCACTCATGGTGGTGTGCACTTGTCCTGAACACCATCTTTGCAGGAGGATGCTGGTTCTGCAAACATGGCCAAGCGTGGGTCACAAAGAGGGCTGGGGTCGCCGCATTTGACTTCGCTGCTCCTGGCCCTGCCTATACAGGGAACAGTGGAGACCTCTGGCCACAGGTCTTGGCAGGCTGCCACACTGAAGGGATACACAGGATCTCTTGGAAATGCCACATTGGAGGAGGATGTTACTTTTCCCCTGTGGAGACAGACAGCATGCAGTAGGGGAGGACAGACACAAGGATTGGAGTCAGACCTGACCGAACAGATGAGACCTCATCTCGCCTTCGTAACTTATTAGCCATGCTGGGGAAGAATTTATGGACCATCCTGGGCCCCCATCTCCTTCTTTTTAATTCGGAATAATCAGACCTGCTTCCAGGGTTGCTGCAAAGATTAACAATCAGCCTTAGCAATGGACAGGTGCTGAATAATGGATAGTTCCCGCCTCTCCAGTCTTTATCCTTTTTGGGTAATTATTAAGACCCTGAAGCCACCTGGGATCATTCCTGGTGATTTGCTGGTTGAAAAACTGGATGGACCAGGCCCCTCTTAGGCTGAATGATGGGTCAATGAAGGCAGGATCTGAGTCCTCCCTTCCACTGTCCCCAAAACCTCCTGCAGCCTGATACTTGCCTCAGGGCCTCTGCAGAGGAAATGCTTATAGAGGAGATGCTATCTGGCTTCGTGGATGGAGAGGGGTTCTGAGTTCCAATTCATGTTATTTAATATATTTGGGTCTTATATTTTCCTAATCTGTTGAATGGAGGTGATGATTCTGCCTGGTGTTTTGCATATGTATTATATCAGAAGAATATATAAATCCCAAATAATAGCCCAACCTGGGTTACTCAGCCATGCAGTGTTAGTACCTCCATTCTCTGACTTTCTAAAATGTACCTTCAGGTAGTTAGTTATCTTTTCCATGACCCTCTGTTTCTTTTTTTTTTTTTTTGTGAGATGGGGTCTTGCTCTGTTGCCTAGGCTGGAGTGCAGTGGCACAATCTCTGCTCACTGTGATCTCTGCCTCCCTGGTTCAAGTGATTCTCCTGCCTCAGCCTCCCAAGTAGCTGGGATTACAGGCATGCACCATCATTCCTAGCTAATTTTTGTATTTTTAGTAGAGATGGGGTTTCACCATGTTGGCCGGGCTGGTCTCAACCTCCTAACTTCAGATGATCCACCCACCTTGCCCTCCGAAAGTACAGGCATGAACCACCATGCCCAGCCTACCATGGCCCTCTTTTATCAGGTGGCTCGATTCTGCTTTGCCAACGAAGGCTACCTAGACATGTGGTATGTAGATGTAATATATAGACATTTACACCAAAGGAGAAAGGATTTGAGGAATCTGGGAGTCAGGCTGCGTCAAGATATGCAGGTGCCATGGCTGGAGTGGGGAGGCTGCTCAGAGCCCAACCGTGCTTCTGTTTAGAAACACACTGGAAAGGTACCCAGCTGGACAGAAGTTCTTTTATGGACTCAAGCCTATTTCAAGTTCTGGGCTTTTGATGAAGATGATTCTCTTACCACTCCTTTGGAGAAAACTGCCTGTGAGCATCCCTAGGCAGATGTCAGGTTATAAATAGAGGATTCTTCCCAGGATGAAAAGCAAGGTAAAGAGACGGAATTCACCTATATAGAGAATCTGCCTCCTCTCTTAGAGAAAACAAATGATTGGTGTTTTGTTACTGCACTTCTTGGCCAGCTAAGAAGTGGGAACTCAGGGTAGTGAGGGTGCTGGGATCCTCTGTGGCTGGGACCCTGGTGATGAGCCCCACCCCACCCTTGGAGGCTGCTTCAATAGGTCGACTGACTGGTGAGGGCCTGAGTTCAGGTAATAAGGAGGAGAGGGCAGTACAGAGGGAGATTTTGGAAGCAGCAGCAGAGAATTAATGCACATAAAAATTCTAGGTTGGGAGGCCGAGGCGGATGGATCACCTGAGGTCAGGAATTCCAGACCAGCCTGACCAACATGGTGAAACACGGTCTCTACTAAAAATACAAAAATTAGCTGGGTATGGTGGTGGGTGCCTATAATCCCAGCTGCTCAGGAGGCTGAGGCAGGAGAATCTCTTGAACTTGGGAGGTGGAGGTCGCAGTGAGCCGAGATCATGCCATTACACTCCAGCCTGGGTGCCAGAGCGAGAATCCGTCTCAAAAAAAAAAAAAAAAAAAAATTAAAAAATTCCAGGAAGAAGACAGAAGACTTCAAGATGTGTAGCCTATGTGACTGAGTGGATGACGATGCCACAGACTTGATGGGACCATGGAAGGTCAAGGGAGGAGAGAGAAGATAATAAATTTGGCTTTGGACCTGCTGAGTTTGAAGTACTCAGGTGGGGCTCTGCAGGAAACAAGTGGAATGTGACACTTCCAGAAAGATCTGCTTCCATAGGAGCTGGAGAAGGAGCACATTCTGCCAGATGGCGTGTATAAAGACATAGTGGAGAATGGCTGTCCCTAAATGCGGATTTGGAAATTCTTCTCTCTAAGGAGTGTTCTTTGAGGTTCTTGCTTTGGCCGACCATCAATGGTGATGGTGGAAGCGTCTATTATGGCTACGGATCAGAAGTGGATGTTACATCTGGGTCTTCAGTCATCCCATTCCCCAATTCTCTCTATTGCTAGCACCTATTTAACCTCTGCAATGCTAGGTTACCTGCTTTTATGCATAGAAGACAGGCTTGCAGTGATTTGGAAAGATCTGTGTATCTTAGAGACTGACACTTCCACCACCAACGTCAAGGTGCCCCAAGCTCTCCTGCAAGGACGTCCACAAATAATTCAGACACTTGGAAAAAACACCTACTAGGCAGCCAAGCCCAGGATTTTCTCCTCTTGGCTAATGTTGGTGAACATCACCAGGGAGGTGGGGAGAGCCTGATATATGGTAAATGCACTCATCCACCTGCGATGACAGGTTAATGACCTGCTTCCATGCAACTGGAGTCCTGCCTGATACCACCTGCCCCTCCCAGAGGAATTGTTACTATTTGCTTTATATGGTTGCTTTGCCATAAATCTGAGAAACTGTATACACCATTAAAGAGAATATGGCATTGAAATCATCCCCATCAGTAATGGAAATAGCTAAGATGAGCTTGGATATGTTCACAGCTGTTAAACAAATCAAAAACGCATTAAGCGCAAGTTGAAATTTACTCTGCCAGCTGAGGAAAAGTCATACACTCGAGCCTGTTAAGTGGACCCTTTAACTCTTGTTTGAAGCCCTTCTAATGCCTTGTGTGGCTTAAGGATGCCTATGTCTGGAACTGCATTCCTGATCATGCTCTTTAGGAATGACAGAATTGCATATCATTTGTATCTCGCTCCTGAATTTCTGTTAGTATATTTCAAAGAACAGAGTTGTATGGCATGGGTGTAAGTGTTAGTGTCCATGTAAAGACTGAGGCATCAGCACTTAATGCTTCTGTAATTGTGTTGCAATCAAGGTTCTGGACAGAAAGAACCTGGTGCCTCCATAGACTGGGTGTTTCGGAGCTGCTGGACTGGGGGCTCAGATTCTGACTTTGCCACCAATTCAGACTTTGCCCCTGAACCCCTGACCTGCCCAGCCTCTGGCTTCTCACAACCTTTTGCAAACGGAAGTGGTAAGTCCTGTTGTCTTCATAAGACAGCTGCAAATATTAACTATTTAAATCACTATAGCCCACAAATCGTTCCCTTTGCAAGCACAAAACAAAATTTCTTAGACTAGATTTCTGAACAGAAAAATGCCTATTGTTTCTGAAATGTTATTAAGCTGTATCCTCCCTTGGCAGGAAATGCAGATGGGCCTGTGGTTTGCTGCTGGGTTTCGACCACTCCTATTTGGGATAAACTACCCAGGTTTCACGAGATTCAAGTGGCATCCCCTCTAAAAGGAAAGAATACAAAGGCTTTTGTTATGTAGTTTCAAATTGCCCCCAGAAAAGAATCCCACGGCCTGTGCTATAAGATACTCATTGTTTGAGATATGTGACCCTCCCCAAAAGTGCAGAAAAAAGTTTTTCTCATCATTCCACACAAGCATCCTAGTGCAAATGCATAATACACACATCCTTGCACACTCACAGGCACACCCTGCACCCTCGCACCCCGCCTTTCCATCTATGAGGCATGCAGCTCTACTACAACCTTTATCCCTGGCAATGAACCAAGACAAACTTGAGCTCTCTTTCCTTGGAATCACTCTGCCCTCCCAGACTTCCCTGATAAAGAACACAAAGAAGCAAAAGTATAGACACCAGGTGTACATACCTGACACAAAAGTATAAAACCACGGGTCCTGACTTTTTAGGGAAGTCATGTTCCAATACTCTTCGATCTAGCTGAAGCCAGTTTAAGTGTCCCCTGAAGAAAATAGAGACAAATTGGTTAGGGGTTTGCATTTTGCAGAAGTTTTTTTGGGGTTGAAGGTATATATGAAGCAGAACGTGCTGGATCGTAGATAAATTTGAACCTTCACCTTATTTTTAATTTTTTTTTAGTTTTTATTTTTTTGAGACTAAGTCTTGCTCTGTGACCCAGGCTGGAGTGCAGTGGCATGATCTTGGCTCACTGCATCCTCTGCCTCCTGGGTTTAAGCGATTCCCTGCCTCAGCCTCCTGAGTAGCTGGGACTACAAGCATGAGCCACCATGCCCGGCTAATTTTTGTATTTTTGGTAGAGACGGGGTTTCACCATGTTGGTCAGGCTGGTCTCAAACTCCTGACCTCAGGTGATCCGCCCACCTCGGCCTCCCAAAGTGCTGGGATTACAGGCGTGAGCCACTGTGCCCGGCCACCTTCACCTTATTACTAGCTTTTCAGTATTGAAGAACCCAGTGGGATTAGGTAGGGGATACCGAGTCAGCAGTGGATACTGTGTGGTGTGAGGGGAAGAATAGGAACTGGAAAGTGAAGGGATTGAGACCTGCTGTTTCCCAGGGAAACACTGAAACGAAAATGTAATCAGAACTCTCCTTCTTGTCCTGAACCGCCTTTCCACCACACTCCCAGGTGCCTTTTTTCCTGAAGGACTGAAAGCACACTTGAAAACATGTTAGCAATCCTCACGACATCTTGCTGGAGTGAAAAGCAAATCACACACAGTGTCTGAAAACGTTAAACTTACCGCCAGGGGCAGTGGCTCATGCCTTTAATCCCAGCACTTTGGAAGGCTGAGGCAAGAGATCCTCAGAGGGGAACCACTTTCCAGGCAGAAAGACCAGCCCGTGCAAAGGCCCCGGGGTGAGGGAGGACCCCAGCGTCTTAGTGTCCTGTGAGTGGAAAGCCATGAGGCTAGGGAGAGCCCTGGGGGCCATGTCTCGGAGGCTGGTCTTGGAAGAGTGGGGCAAAGCCATGGAACAACCAAGCTGAAGAATCCTCTCTTTCCTTTCCCTCCTCTCTGTATCCAATGTCAGCCCATCATCCTGGAGAAGACAGTCCTATAATCACTTTATGGAGTAAAGTCACATGGAACAGACCCAACTGACCCCACTGCATTTCCCCCGTAGCTAATGCTGTGTGGCATGTGTGCAAGACTGTGGATAATGAGAAACAAAATCTGTCTGCATCATTGTCTAAAAACGCTTGTTCCTCTCAGCACATGCTTAAACCTCCAACAAAGGAAAGAGAGAAAACACACAAGTGACTTCCAACC